>NT_167245.2:2888876-3059722 GCF_000001405.40 Homo sapiens | reverse complement strand
CATCGACCTGGGCACCACCTACTCCTGTGTGGGGGTGTTCCAGCACGGCAAGGTGGAGATCATCGCCAACGACCAGGGCAACCGCACCACCCCCAGCTACGTGGCCTTCACAGACACCGAGCGGCTCATTGGGGATGCGGCCAAGAACCAGGTAGCAATGAATCCCCAGAACACTGTTTTTGATGCTAAACGTCTGATCGGCAGGAAATTTAATGATCCTGTTGTACAAGCAGATATGAAACTTTGGCCTTTTCAAGTGATTAATGAAGGAGGCAAGCCCAAAGTCCTTGTGTCCTACAAAGGGGAGAATAAAGCTTTCTACCCTGAGGAAATCTCTTCGATGGTATTGACTAAGTTGAAGGAGACTGCTGAGGCCTTTTTGGGCCACCCTGTCACCAATGCAGTGATTACCGTGCCAGCCTATTTCAATGACTCTCAACGTCAGGCTACTAAGGATGCAGGTGTGATTGCTGGACTTAATGTGCTAAGAATCATCAATGAGCCCACGGCTGCTGCCATTGCCTATGGTTTAGATAAAGGAGGTCAAGGAGAACGACATGTCCTGATTTTTGATCTGGGTGGAGGCACATTTGATGTGTCAATTCTGACCATAGATGATGGGATTTTTGAGGTAAAGGCCACTGCTGGGGACACTCACCTGGGTGGGGAGGACTTTGACAACAGGCTTGTGAGCCACTTCGTGGAGGAGTTCAAGAGGAAACACAAAAAGGACATCAGCCAGAACAAGCGAGCCGTGAGGCGGCTGCGCACCGCCTGCGAGAGGGCCAAGAGGACCCTGTCGTCCAGCACCCAGGCCAACCTAGAAATTGATTCACTTTATGAAGGCATTGACTTCTATACATCCATCACCAGAGCTCGATTTGAAGAGTTGTGTGCAGACCTGTTTAGGGGTACCCTGGAGCCTGTAGAAAAAGCGCTTCGGGATGCCAAGATGGATAAGGCTAAAATCCATGACATTGTTTTAGTAGGGGGCTCCACCCGCATCCCCAAGGTGCAGCGGCTGCTTCAGGACTACTTCAATGGACGTGATCTCAACAAGAGCATCAACCCTGATGAGGCCGTAGCATATGGGGCTGCGGTACAAGCAGCCATCCTGATGGGGGACAAGTCTGAGAAGGTACAGGACCTGCTGCTGCTGGACGTGGCTCCCCTGTCCCTGGGGCTGGAGACGGCTGGGGGCGTGATGACTGCCCTGATAAAGCGCAACTCCACCATCCCCACCAAGCAGACACAGATTTTCACCACCTACTCTGACAACCAACCCGGGGTGCTGATCCAGGTGTATGAGGGCGAGAGGGCCATGACAAAGGACAACAACCTGCTGGGGCGGTTTGACCTGACTGGAATCCCTCCAGCACCCAGGGGAGTTCCTCAGATCGAGGTGACGTTTGACATTGATGCCAATGGTATTCTCAATGTCACAGCCACGGACAAGAGCACCGGCAAGGTGAACAAGATCACCATCACCAATGACAAGGGCCGCCTGAGCAAGGAGGAGATTGAGCGCATGGTTCTGGATGCTGAGAAATATAAAGCTGAAGATGAGGTCCAGAGGGAGAAAATTGCTGCAAAGAATGCCTTAGAATCCTATGCTTTTAACATGAAGAGTGTTGTGAGTGATGAAGGTTTGAAGGGCAAGATTAGTGAGTCTGATAAAAATAAAATATTGGATAAATGCAACGAGCTCCTTTCGTGGCTGGAGGTCAATCAACTGGCAGAGAAAGATGAGTTTGATCATAAGAGAAAGGAATTGGAGCAGATGTGTAACCCTATCATCACAAAACTCTACCAAGGAGGATGCACTGGGCCTGCCTGCGGAACAGGGTATGTGCCTGGAAGGCCTGCCACAGGCCCCACAATTGAAGAAGTAGATTAATTCTTTTTAGAACTGAAGCATCCTAGGATGCCTCTACATGTATTTCATTCCCCTCATCTTCAAACATCATTATTATTCTTGACCAGACCTGAATCTAAGTTACCATCCCTTGGAAATTCTGGAGAAGGAGTCTCATGCACCACCTATCACACTCCCTCACATCCTGTTTCTGACTTTGGAATGGACTCAGGAAAACTAGGCCCCTCTTTAAACCGTGTGATGTATTTGAATGTCTGTTATTTCCAGCCACCCTAACATTCTTCTTCCTGTGTGGATGCTTATTTGTCAATCAGTAAATTTGTTCGTAAAGAAAATTACTTCTGGTATTTAGGCTGTGAATGTACCTTGAAGGGGAGAGTTCATGGAGAGAGCATGTGTTCTCTGATTGTGAGGTCACTGTGAATGATTAAATTGGTAAGGGTAAAGTATTTGAATTTTCATGAACTCATTTTGTGTGTGTGTGTGTGTGTGTGTGTGTGTGTGTGTGTGTGTGTTTTGAGAGACAGTCTCGCCCTGTCACCCAGGCTGGAGTGCAGTGGCACAATCTCAGCTTACTGCAAGCTCTGCCTCCTGGGTTCACGCCATTCTCCTGCCTCAGCCTCCCGAGTAGCTGGGACTGCAGGTGCCCCCCACCATGCCCGGCTAATTTTTTGTATTGTTTTAGTAGAGACGGGGTTTCACTGTGTTAGCCAGGATGGTCTCGATCTCCTGACCTCGTGATCCGCCCGCCTCGGCCTCCCAAAGTGCTGGGATTACAGGCGTGAGCCACCGTGCCCGGCCCATGAACTCATTGTTTCAATCAGCCACATAATTTTTGATCCTCAGACACCTTTAGCACAGATGGAACAGATGGCAAACTATAACTGCTTTTAATCAGTTACAAGCTGGTTTTGGAGTTTAGGACTCAACTGGGGGTGGAGGGACAAATCCTGCTTGATGTCCTGATGTCACTTATAGGTAAGGTCCAGGAGATTCAGCATCTATGCACTCACAGAGTTCATTGTTTACATCCATTACATGGAGAAAATATTTCTTTTCTTTTTTTTTTTTTTTGGAAACAGTTTCGCTCTTGTCGCCCAAGCTGGAGTGCAATGGCACGATCTCGGCTCACTGCAAACTTTGCCTCCCAGATTCAAGCGATTCTCCTGCCTCAGCCTCATGAGTAGCTGGGATTACAGGCGCTCACCACCATGCCCGGCTAATGTTTGTGTTTTTAGTAGAGACGGGATTTCACCATGTTGACCAGGCTGTTCTGAACTCCTGACCTCAGGTGATCCACCCACCTCAGCCTCCCAAAGTGCTGGAATTATAGGCGTGAGCCACCGTGCCCAGCCCCAGAAAATATTTCTATAACAAACTCTTGACAAATAAGTATGTCTATGCAAGATGACAAATACAAGTTTTATGAAGTCTCAGTCCATGAAAAAATATTTTTACCAGCTGGGCACAGTGGCTCACGCCTGTAATCCCAGCACTTTGGGAGGCCGAGGCGGGCGGATCATGAGGTCAAGAGATTGAGACCATCCTGCCCAACATGGTGAAACCCCGTCTCTACTAAAAATACAAAAATTAGCTGAGGACGGTGATGCGTGCCTGTAGTCCCAGCTACTCAGGAGGGTGAGGCAGAGGAATCGCTTGAACCCGGGACGTGGAGGTTGCAGTGAGCTGAGATCGTGGCACCACACTCCAGCCTGGTGATAGAGCGAGACTCCATCTCAAAAACATTTTTTTCTTTTACCTGTGTCCTAATACATATTTATAAAAACCTGGGGGATATGAGTTAGAATAATATGTAACTGCATTTCTGTCTGTTTGTGTTTGAAACATTTAACAGTGAAATGTTAGACTGGGTTATTTGTATCTGTGAGCCACAGTCTCTTTAGTTTTACACAGTCCTTTACAGGACAGTCTTGGCAAAAGTGTGTAAGAAATGCGGAGATTGAGGTTGGCTCCTTTGGAGAAATGTATTTATTGGTAACCTTTGATAAAATCAAAATTTGTGCTCCAGCTCCTCCTTATCTCTGGGACTGCTCAACGTTGTTTGTTTATAATTTTCTTTTTTCTAGAGAGAGTCTCGCTCTGTCACCCAGGCTGGAATGCAGTGGGGAGATTGTAGCTCACTGTAACTCTTGGGTTCAAATGATCCTCCTGCCTCAGCCTCCCCAAATGCTGGGATTTACAGGCCTCAACATTTTTTGTTTTTTGGGATGGAGTTTTGCTCTTGTTGCCCAGGCTGGAGTGCAATGGCAAGATCTCCACTCACTGCAACCTATGCCTCCTGGATTTACAGGCGCGTGCCACCACACCCGGCTAATTTTTGGGTTTTTAGTAGAGACAGAATTTCGCCATGTTGACCAGGCTGGTCTCGAACTCCTGACCTCAGGCGATCCACTTGCCTTGGCCGCCCAAAGTGCTGGGATTACAGGTGTGAGCCACTGCTCCCGGTCATTTTTTTTTTTTTTTTTTTTGAGACGGAGTCTTGCTCTGTCGCCCAGGCTGCAGTGCAGTGGCGCGATCTCGGTTCACTGCAACCTCCGCCTCCCAGGTTCAAGCGATTCTCTTCCCTCAGCCTCCCGAGTAGCTGGTATTACAGGAGCCTGCGACCACGCCTAATTTTTTTTGTATTTTTAGTGAAGATGGGGTTTCACCATGTTGGCTAGACTGGTCTCGAACTCCTGACCTCACACAATCCACCCACCTAGGCCTCCCAGAGTGCTGGGATTAAAGGCTTGAGCCACGGCCCTCGGCCTTTTTTTCTTTTTATCAGCTGAATTTAAGATTCAAAACATTTTTTAATTTTATTTTTTAAATTTTATGTTTTTACTTTAACAAATATAGAAAAGTGCACACTTCATAATCTTAACAAACTCCCCACAATTCTCGATAGGAAGTGTGTGTAGGGCACAAACACATCACGCTGTAGATGGCAGGATTCTGGAAAAGAACAAAATCCTTTGAGCTCAGGCGCTGAGTCCCGCCACCCGTCTGGCAGCCCAGGCTAGGGTCCGCGCCTGCGCAATGGGAGCCGGCCGGCCAGGGAGGAAGTCGGAATGAAGGAAACCCCGCCCCTTTCCCGGCTTCCTCCTCCCCTCTACTCTACCCAGCTTGCGCTCCCCAGCCGCAAGTCGGCCGCGCTTTGCCCGTCAGCGCTTGGAGCTTTCTGCGTCGCTTCCCGCTGCGCCTGCGCGGTCCCGCCTCGCCCCACGCGCGGGCTCGCGCTTCGGTTTCCCCAGACCTGCTCGCAGCACCCTGCTGTCTTCCCGGTCCGGCCCGCTGCCCGCGGCGCCAGCACCATGGTGGGTACCGTGACGTCAAAAGGGGGCGCCCTCGGGGACCTCGCATGGTTGGGGCGGGGGATCTGGCCTTTGTACCCCTAGGCTGGAGTTAGGTCCGGAGTTTTTATCTTCATCTTTAGTACTGTACTGTTTCTCAGGTTCATTGAGGAGGCACTGAGAACAAATGGGATATTTTTTCCATGATGAGGGAAAAAACCCCAACCCTGAGAGAGATTCAGTGAGGATAGCGGGAGACGGAAAAGTTAGACCTCAGAGCACTTCTCTGCCAGGCAAGCTTCGGCAGGGTGCGGGTGGGATATTTTCTACAATTCATTGAAAGGAGTGGGCAGGTACCCGAGAAAGGTGGTCGACTGAGAGAGCACAGTGGGGAGGCCGACGTATGCAGGGCAGAGTCTCTCTGGGACTTTAAGTGATGGGCTCAGTGCAGTGTGCAGAATAATTTGGGCTCCAGCCTTTCAGCTCTGTCAACCAATTATTCTTTCCTGTGAAATTTTGAGAACTGTCAGGGATGCAGTGGGGTTCACAATACCAGTATTTGGTAATACTGTCAAAGGACACTCCTCCCTACCATGCTCCTTCCCACATGATGGTTTTCCCCCTCTCTCCCAATAGCTCTTCTATTCTTTTTTCAAGTCCCTTGTGGGCAAGGATGTGGTCGTGGAACTAAAGAATGACCTGAGGTAGGTACCTGTTCCAACAAGTCTGTTGGGGGTGGGTGTGCCCAGGGCCCTGGAACCTCTTTAATTTGAGAAATATTTCAGGGCTAGGCGAGGTGGAAGATGTACAGAAGAAATAAATGGATAGGGTGCAGTGGCTCAAGCCTGTAATCCCAGCACTTTGGGAGGCTGAGGAAGGAGGAAAGCTTGAGCCCAGGAGTTTGAGGCTGCAGTGAGCAGTGATTACTCCATTGCACTCTAGCCCAGGCAATAGAGCAAGACCCCATCTCTAAGAAAAATTTTAAAATTTAGCAATAAATAAATGCCTTGTGCCTTAAATTTACAGATAAGCTTAGAGATTGTATCGTGTATTGGAAAACAATACAAAGCAATATATAGTTTAAAGAGTAAATACAGGTCAGGCGCAGTGGCTCACGGGCTGGACGTGTGGCTCATGCCTGTAATCCCAGCACTTTGGGAGGCCAAGGTGGGCGAATCACGAGGTCAGGAGTTCAAGACCAGCCCGGTCAAGATGGTGAAACCCTGTCTCTACTAAAAATACAAAAATTAGCCGGGCACGGTGGCTGGTGCCTGTAATCCCAGCTACTCGGGAGGGTGAGGCAGGAGAATCGCTTGAACCTGGGCGGCAGAGGTTGCAGTGAGCTGAGATCACACTGCTGCACTCCAGCTGGGTGACAGAGTGAGATTCTGTCTCAAAAAAAAAAAAAAGTAAGTACTAGGCTGGCCATGGTGGCTCACACCTGTAATCTCAGCACTTTGGGAGGCTGAGGCAGGAGGATCACTTGAGTCCAGGATGTCGAGACTAGTCTGGGCAACATAGTGATGAGACCTCTATTTCTATAAAAAATTAGCCAGGTGTAGTGTACATGCCTGTAGTCTCAGCTATTCGGGAGGCTGAGGTGGGAGGATCACTTGAACCCAGGAGGTCAAGGCTGCAGTGAGCCATGATTGTATCACTTTACTCCAGCCTGGTTGACAGAGGAAGACTCTGTCTCAAAAAAAGAACAGGCCAGGCCGGGCGCGGTGGCTCACGCCTGTAATCCCAGCACTTTGGGAGGCCGAGGCAGGCGGATCACAAGGTCAGGAGATTGAGATCATCCTGTTTAACATGGTGAAACCCTGTCTCTGCTAAAAATACAAAAAATTAGCCAGGCGTGGTGGCATGCTCCTGTAGTTCCAGCTACTTGGGAGTCTGAGGCAGGAGAATGGCGTGAACCTGGGAGGCGGAACTTGCAGTGAGCCAAGATGGTGCCACCGCACTCCAGCCTGGGTGACAGAGCAAGACTCCGTCTCAAAAAAAAAAAAAAAAAAAAAGAAAAAAAAGAACAGGCCATAGGCCGGGCACGATGGCTCATGCCTGTAATCCCAGCACTTTGGGAGGCTGAGGCGGGTGGATCACGAGGTCAAGAGAGCGAGAACAGCCTGGCCAACATGGTGAAACCATGTAGTGTATCTAATACCTAGCATAGGCCAGTTATATGATAGGTGCTTAAAGAAAGAAAAATAATATCCGAAGACGTATTGACTAACCACTATTCTGAATACATTTATTGATTGATTTCTCAAACACTGCTAAGTAATATATACTATTGCTGTTTTACACGAGGAAACTGAGGCTTAGATCAGCTATACCACTTGTTCAAGTCTACAAAACTAGTAAGTGACACAACTGAAATATGATTCTGTCCAGCTTTTTTTCTTTCTTTTTTTTTTTTTTTGAGATGGAGTTTCAGTCTGTCACCTAGGCTGGACTGCAATGGCGTAATCTCGGCTCACTGCAGCCTCTGCCTCCTGGGTTCAAGCAATTCTCTGCCTCAGCCTCCCTAGTAGCTGTGATTACAAGTGCCCACCACCATGCCCGGCTAAATTTTGTATTTTTAGTAGAGATGGAGTTTCACCATCTAGGCCAGGCTGGTCTTGAACTCTCGACCTTGTGATCCACCTGCCTCAGCCTCTCAAAGTGTTGGGATTACAGGCGTGAGCCACTGCGCCTAGTCCTACTTTCTTTCTTAAAATAATATTTATTTATTTAAAAATTAGAGACAGTGCCTCACTTTGTTGCTCAGGCTGGTTTCAAATTCTTTGAGTTCAAGCAGTCCTCTTGCTTCAGCTTCCCAAAGTGCTGGGGTTACGCGCATGAGCCAGCACACCTGGCCCTGTACTTATCTGTACAGTCCTTTAAATAATATGTACATTTAGGCCAGATGCGGTGGCTCATACCTGTAATCCCAGCACTTTGGGAAGTCGAGGCGGGTGGATGCCTGAGGTCACGAGTTTGAGACTAGCTTGGCCAACATGGTGAAACTCCATCTCTACTAAAAATACAAAAATTAGCCAGATGTTGTGTTGTGCGCCTGTAATCCTAGCTGCTCAGGAGCCTGAGGCTGGAGAATCACATGAACCCGGGAGGCGGACGTTGTAGTGAGCTGAGATCAGGCCACTGCACTCCAGCCTGGGCGACAGACTGAGACTCCATCTCAAAAAAAAAAAAAAAGTACATTTAAAATATTGATACCTGTTACCTCATTATCCTTTAGAAAGATGGGATCAATTGTATTCTCTTCCCAAAAGCGTCTTCCACATTTATTTTTTTGAGATGGGGGTCTCACTCTGTTGTCCAGGCTGTAGTGCAGTGGCACCACCATAGCTCACTCAGCCTCCTGAATAGCTGGGGCTATATGCCACCATGCCCAGCTAATTTTTTAATTATTTGGAGAGGCAGAGTCTCACTGTGTTGCCGAGGCTAGTCTGAAACTCTTGGGCTCAAGCAGTCCTGCCACCTTGGCCTCCCAAAGTGCTGGAATTACAGGTGTGTGCCACTGTGTCTGGCTGTCTTCCACATTTCTATGTGAGATAATTTTTTCATGGGTTACACGTTGACAGGGCAGGGAATGGTGAGGAGAGGGACTTAAGGGCCTTTGCGTTTTAGAACACAGGTTTCCATTTGTAGCACTGGCAATGCAAGTGATATTGATGTGTATAGATTGGGGCCACAGAGCAAGACAAGTACGGTAATCACTATCAGTCTTAGGCAATTTGGTGTGATGACTTGTTTTTGATTCTCCTCTTTTCTCCTTCCTGGGCCTTTTACATGGGAAGCCTAACTGTTGTGTTATAACCCTAGGCCCTAAAGTACCTTTATTTTTTTTATTTTATTTTGTTTTTGAGACAGAGTCTTGCCCTGTCGCCCAGGCTGGAGTGCAATGGCGTGATCTCGGCTCACCGCAACCTCTGCCTCCCGGGTTCAAGTGATTCTCCTGCCTCAGCCTCCCTGGTAGCTGGGATTACAGGCATGCGCCACAACGCCTGGCTCATTTTTTGTATCTTCAGTAGAGACAGGGTTTCACCATGTTGGCCAGGCTGGTCTCCCAACTCCTGACCTCGTGATCTGCCCACCCCAGCCTCCCAAAGTACTGGGATTACAAGTGTGAGCCACTGCACCCGGCCGTAGTAACATTTCTTTTCTTTTTCTTTTTTCTTTTTTTTATTGAGACGAGTCTCGCTCTGGTCGAGTCTACGCCAGGCTGGAGTGCAGTGGTGCTGTAACCTCCGACTCCCTGGTTCAAGTGATTATCCTGCCTCAGCCTCCCGAGTAGCTGGGATTATATGCATGCACCACCACGCCCAGCTAATTTTTGTATTTTTAGTAGAGAAGGGGTTTCACCACGTTGGCCAGGATGGTCTCAATCTCCTGACCTTGTGATCTGCCCACCTCGGCCTCCCAAAGTACTGTGATTACAGGTGTGAGCCACTGCGCCCAGCCTTCTTTTTTTTCTATTTATTTATTTATTTTTGTTTGAGATGGGGTCTCACTCTGTCACCCAGGTTGGAGTGCAGTGGCATGATCTCGGGTCACTGCAACCTCTGCTGCCTGGGTTCAAGTGATTCTCCTGCCTCAGTCTCCCAAGTAGCTGGGATTACAAGTGCCTGCCACCATACCTGGCTAATTTTTGTATTTTTAGTAGACATCGGGTTTCACCATCTTCGTCAGGCTGGTCTTGAACTCCTGACCTCGTGATCCACCTGCCTCGGCCTCCCAAAGTGCTGGGATTACAGACGTGAGCCACTGCACCCGGCCTTTTTATATTATTTTTAAAATTTTTCATAGAGACAGAGTCTCGGCCGTGTTGCCCAGGCTGGTCTTGAACTCCTGGACTCAAGTGATCCTCCCACCTCAGCCTCTCAAAGTGCAGTGACTACAGGTGTGAGCCAATATGTGTGTGGCTTTAAAGTGACTTTTCTGTTGGGATGAGAAAGAAGATCTTTCTCCTTTTTTTTCCTTGAGACAGGGTCTCACTCTGTTGCCCTGGCTGGAGTGCGGTGGCGCGATCTTGGCTCACTGCAACCTCTGCCTCCTGGGTTCAAGTGATTCTTCCACCTCAGCCTCCCGAATAGCTGGGATTACCGGTGCATGCCACCACTCCCAGCTAATTTTTTGTATTTTTAGTAGGGATGGGGTTTCACCATGTTGGCCAGGCTGGCCTCAAACTCCTGACCTCAAGTGATCCTCCTGCCTCAGCCTCCCAAAGTGCTGGGATCACAGGTGTGAGCCACCACGCCTGGCCAAAAGTTCTTTCTCTTATGTTTGTTGTCAGACCACTTTTGTGCTATGTATCTCCCCCTCCTTAAGGGACTTAATAAAATGACACCACTTTGTACAATTCCCAAATGTTATTTCACTGCTGGAGATGGTGGGGTGCTGTCAAATGTTTTTCAGCAGCTAGCAATATGGTGAGAACATTACTGAGGCAGTGGGTTTCAGATACTGGGTGTTTGTTTTTGTTTTTGTTATTAGGCAGAGACTCACCCTCTGTCTCAAAAAAAATAATGATTGCCTAGTACTAGTTCATTTAAATTAATTTCCTAGAGCATATTTAAGTGGGTCTTTTTTTTTTTTTTTTTTTTTTGAGACAGATCCTTACTCTGTCACCGAGGCTGGAATGCAGTGGCATGATCTTGGCTCACTGCAACCTCTACCTCCTGTGTTCAAATGATTCTCGTGCCTCAGCCTCCTGTATACCTGGGACTACAGGCATGCACCACACACAGCTAATTTTTGTATTTTTATATTTTATTTTTAAATTTTTTTTTTCCTCCTGGGTTCAAGTGATTCTCGTGCCTCACCTCCTGAGTAGCTGGGATTACAGGTGCACACCACAATGCCCAGCTAATTTTTGTATTTTTTTTTTTTTGAGACGGAGTCTTGCTTTGTCACCCAGGCTGGAGTGTAGTGGTGTGATCTCCGCTCACTGCAAGCTCTGCCTCCCAGTTCACGCCATTTTTCTACCTCAGCCTCCCAAGTAGCTGGGACTACAGGTGCCCGCCACCATGCCCGGCTAATTTTTTGTATTTTTAGTAGAGACGGGGTTTCACCGTGTTAGCCAGGATGGTCTCGATCTCCTGACCTCGTGATCCACCCGCCTCGGCCTCCCAAAGTGCTGAGATTATAGGCGTGAGCCACCACGCCCGGCCAATTTTTGTATTTTTAGTAGAGATGGGGATTCGCCGTGTTGGCCAGGCTGGTCTTGAAGTCCTGGCCTCAAGTGATCCGCCCACCTTGGCCTCCTAAAGTTCTGGGATTATAGGCATGAGCCACCGCACATGGCCTAGACGCTGGGTTTTAAAGACTTTCAGAATTTTACAAAAATTGGGGCAGAGAACTGCCAACTTTATTTTTGGCAAGATAAGGACGTTTTTAAAACTGCTATTTATTACGATTATTTTTATTTATTTATTTTTCTTGAGATGGAGTCTCACTCTGTCACCCAGGCTGGAGTGCAGTGGCTCGATCTCGCCTCACTACAACCTCCACCTCCCGGGTTCAAGTGATTCTCCTGCTTCAGCCTCCCGAGTAGCTGGGATTACAGGCGTCTGCCACTATGCCCAGCTAATTTTTTGTATTTTTAGTAGAGATGGGGTTTCACGATGTTGGCCAGGCTGGTGTCGAACTCCTGACCTCGTGATTCGCCCGCCTCGTCCTCCCTAAGTGCTGGAATTATAGGCGTGAGCCACCGTGCCCGGCCACAGTTATTTTATTTTATAACTTTAAAATAGAGATGAGGTCTTGCTATGTTGTCTGGGCTGTTCTCCAGCTGGCTTCAGGCGATCCTCCTGCCTCAGCCTCCCAGAATGCTTGGATTATAGGCGTGAACAACCATTCCCAGCCAAAGGCTGTTTTTTTAAATTTTTGCACCATTCTCTCAAAGAGCACTGGTGTTTTGATAGCATTCCTCAAATAGCATTTCAAGGGGCTCGAGGATTGGGGAATGGAGAGGACATCACTCATGCCTGCATCATCAAGAGTAATGCTACCTACCTTTATCCACATATGGGCTCTGGTTCCAAAGCAATAAATGTTTGAAAATAGCTAGCCTGGGTGACATTCACAGTGAGACCCTTTCTCTACAAAAAAAAAAAAAAAAAGTCGGGAATGGTGGCTCATGCCTGTAATCCCAGCACTTTGGGAGGCTGAGGTGGGCAGATCATGAGGTCAGGAGATCGAGACCATCCTGGCTAACACGGTGAAACCCCGTCTCTACTAAAAATACAAAAAATTAGCCAGGAGTGGTGGCCGGCATCTGTAGTCCCAGCTACTCGGGAGGCTGAGGCAGGAGAATGGCGTGAACCTGGGAGATGGAGCTTTCAGTGAGCCGAGATTGTGCCACTGCACTCCAGACTGGCCGACAGAGCGAGACTCCATCTCAAAAAAAAATCAGCTGGGCATGGTGGCTCAAGCCTGTAATCACAGCTACTCAAGTGGCCACAGTGAGCCATGATCACGCCATTTCACTCCAGCCTTGGCCATAGAGTGAGACCCTGTCGCAAAAATAAAAAAAAAATAGCTGATGGTTTTGGGAGTCACACAGACTTGGACTGAAGTTCCCATTTGTTCTAAACTCATAAAGTTTAAAACAACCTCTCTGAGCCCCTGGAAGGTAATAACTACTTTGAAAGATGGCTGTAAAGATTACAAATACTATATAGAATACAGGTCTAGCCTTTACCAGTTGTTTAATGGTAGCTGTTAAGAATAGGTTGGTTTGGCCGGGGACAGTGGTTCACACCTGTAATCCCAGCACTTTGGGGAGCTGAAGTGGGCAGATCGCCTGAGATCAGGAGTTAAGGAACAGCCTGGCCAACATGGTGAAACCCCATCTCTACTAAAAATAAAAAATTAGCCGGGCATGATGGCATGCGCCTGAAGTCCTAGCTACTCAGGAGACTGAGGCAGGAGAATCGCTTGAACCTGGGAGGCAGAGGTTGCAGTGAGCCAAGATCACACCACTGCACTTCAGCCTGGCTGACAGTGAGACTCCATCTCAAAAAAAAAAAAAAAAAAAAAAAAGAATGGATTGGTTTAGGGAGAGGAGATGTGGGGTTGAAAATAAACTACTCTGTTAGTTGTCTTTCCTACTCCAGGGCTTAGGAATGCCCCCTTTTGGTTCTACCTTTTCTGACATCCTCAAGTCCTTGACTTCTCCCAGTCATGTTCTCATCCCAGCTCTGAAGTCACCTCTATGTTGACTTTGTTATAAACTAATTTGATTCTTCTCTCCCTCTGCCCTTGACAGCATCTGTGGAACCCTCCATTCTGTGGATCAGGTGAGATATAGCACGGGCCCCAGAATTGGTTCCTGGAGAAGGAGAGGGGAGACTTAAGGGTTGGGTTCTTACATCATGTCTCTAGGGTTAATAATGGTGTTCGTCGGCCAGGCACGGTGGCTCACGCCTGTAATCCCAGCACTTTGAGAGGCCGAGGCCTGAGGTCAGGAGTTCAAGACAAGCCTGACAAACATGGTGAAACCCCGTCTCTACTAAAAATACAAAAAATTAGCTGGGCGTGGTGGTGGGCACCTGTAATCCCAGCTAGTCGAGAGGCTGAGGCAGGAAAATCATTTGAACCCAGGAGGCGGAGATTGCAGTGAGCCGAGATGGCACCATTGCACTCCAGCCTGGGCAACAAGAGCAAAACTCTTGTCTCAAAAAAAAAAAAATAATAATAATAATGGTGTTCATCTTCCTTTCCTAGTATCTCAACATCAAACTAACTGACATCAGTGTCACAGACCCTGAGAAATACCCTCACATGGTGAGTTGGGGTCTGTGGAGAAGAGGAAACACCTCTAAAGCAGGAGGCCCCTGGGTGGTTAGAGGACATTTTTAAGGGTGTTTTCATATTTGTCCATCTTTGTCTAGTTATCAGTGAAGAACTGCTTCATTCGGGGCTCAGTGGTCCGATACGTGCAGCTGCCAGCAGATGAGGTCGACACACAGTTGCTACAGGATGCGGCAAGGAAGGAAGCCCTGCAGCAGAAACAGTGATGGCTCCTCCTCCTCTTCCCCTCCCTCTTTCATTGGTGACCCATAACCCCAAGTCCCAGCCCAGAACCCCTAACCCCCAATACTTGAAGGGGTTTTGTTTTTTTACTAATGATGGTTTTGTGGGTTTTTTTTAAGGGATGAGTGGATGAGAGGAGTAATAGGGAACAGCTATCCTCTCTTGAGAAGGGGAGGATAAGTAGGCTGGGAAACTTCAAAGCCTTCCCAGTCCCCAGCACCTGCCTTTCTCACTACTTCTCTGGAGATGGTAGGAGAGTTTCCTAGGTCTTTCCAGGGCAGCATGTGATTCATTTGGGGATGGAAGGAATCTGTCCCGCATCGGGAATAAAATTTATGATGCAAATTTGTGTTTTGGTTCTGTTACTATGTGTTGGGCAGGGGGCTGGGACATGGAAAAGGATGTCGAATTCATCCAAGCCCCTGTTACTCTGCGTTAACCCAGCCAAGAATCCAACTCAGCTTCCCACTACTCTCCTTGGTATAAAGCATATAATACAGTTGCTCTACACCATGTTTCCCCAACATGTCCCTACCTGTATGTTCTCCCTGTGGCCTTTTGCTTATACCATACCTGCAACTGGAGTGCTTGCTGTCCTTCCATTAATGTGATAGTGTCATAAGATACATTTCATGCTACCAGACTTCACCAATCCAACCAAATCAGTTCATGTTTTCTGAATATGTATAGAAGATAAATACAAGTGATGTAATTTATATTTTAGAGAAAAGTTGTGACTGGGAATTACTAAACTTCATTCACTCATTCAGCAAATATGAGTTCATGATACAGATGAGACTTCTCAGCCTTAAGGGACCCTTAGAGACCATCTAGTGTGACCCTCCTTTTTGTTTTTGAGACGGGAGTCTCACTCTGTTGCCCAGGGTGGAGTGCACTGGCTTGGTCTGGCTCACTGCAACCTCCGCCTCCCGGTTCAAGCGATTCTCCTGCCACAGCTCCTGAGTAGCTGGGATTACAGATGCCCACCACCATGCCCGGCTAATTTTTTTTTTTTTTTTTTTTTTTTGAGATGGAGTCTCACTTTGTCACCCAGGCTGGACTGCAGTGGTGTGATCTTAGCTCTGCAATCTCCGCCTCCCAGGTTCAAGTGATCTTCTTGCCTCAGCTTCCCAAGTAGCTGGGCTTACAGGTGTGTGCCACCACGCCTGGCTAATTTTTGTATTTTTACAAATACTGCAGCTCTGTCGCCAGGCTGGAGTGCAGTGGCACGATCTCAGTTCACTGCAACCTCAACCTCCAGGGTTCAAGCAATTCCCTGCCTCAGGCTCCGGGGTAGCTGGGATTACAGGCGCCTGCCACCACACCTGGCTAATTTTTGTATTTTTAGTAGAGACGGGGTTTCACCATCTTGGCCTGGCTGGTCTTGAACTCCTGACCTGGTGATCCACCCGCCCTGGCCTCCCAGAGTGCTGGGATTACAGGCGTGAGACGGGCTTTCACCACCTTGGCCAGGCTAGTCTTGAACTTCTGACCTCAGGTGATCCGCCCACCTCGGCCTCCCAAAGTGCTGGGATTATAGGCGTGAGCCACTGCGCCCGGCCGTCACCCTTTTTTCATACATGAGGAGATGAGGCTCAAAGAGGAAGCTGGACGCCAGGGCCTCGGCAAATGGACCTCCCCTTCGGTCCTCATCAGGCGGCTCCCTGCTGGGCACCTCCCCGCTACCGGGTGGGGAACGCCCTCCACCGGCAGGGCCGGCCGACCCTCTTGGGCCAGTTCCCTAGCTGCCCGCTGGGCGCCGCCCTCGCCACCCGGCCGAGGACCCGCACAAGGTGCCCGTGGCGGCGCCTGACGGGAGCGTCGTGCTCAGGGGTGTCCTCTCGTCCTGCGTCCGCGCCCAGCGCCCCGCGCCCCGCGCTGTTCCTCGTGAGACCGGCGGGCGGCGAGCCGCGCGGCCCCCGGGGCAGTGTCGGACACGGCGGGCGCGCACTCGCAGGCGGGGCACGGCCGCCCCCGCCAGGACCCGCAGGCCCGGAAACGCTCCCTGTCACAAAGGGGGGAACACGTGGGCGCCGGCTGCCGGGGCGGCGATCTTAGGGAACTAGGGTCACCTGGAGAGCCGCCCACCGTCTCTGCCCGCTCGACTCCTCCGCCCGGGCCGCTCGGCCGGTCCAGCCGCGGCCGGCGCCTGGCTGTGAGGTGGATTCCCGGCCCAGTCTGACCATCTCCCTCCAGTACGTACACGCGGCTCGAACCCGCATCCAACCAGACGCCGACCCGCTCCTGAGAGCCTTCCACACTCCCCGAAGCCCCGCGATGGTGGATAGTTCCTCTTCCCCAGGAACTCCCCACTGACACTGCCCCTCTGAGAGCCAGGTCCTCGGCTCCTGACAGCCTGCCTGGTCAGACCCTCAGTCCTATGGGACTCGGGTGTCTGCGGCGAAGGAGCTCCCGTGAGGGTCCCCTCTCTACTCAAACATAGGACCCACCTCGATCCCGCAGTCTTCCCCTGTCTCTCTTTCTCCTTAGGTTTTTCCACTTCGTTCGGACCTTCTCATAACTATGTCCACCCTCTACGTCTCCCCTCACCCAGATGCCTTCCCCAGCCTCCGAGCCCTCATAGCCGCTCGCTATGGGGAGGCTGGGGAGGGTCCCGGATGGGGAGGAGCCCACCCCCGCATCTGTCTCCAGCCACCCCCGACTAGCAGGACTCCCTTTCCCCCACCCCGCCTGCCGGCCCTGGAGCAGGGGCCCGGTGGGCTCTGGGTGTGGGGGGCCACGGCTGTGGCCCAGCTGCTGTGGCCAGCAGGCCTGGGGGGCCCAGGGGGCAGCCGGGCGGCTGTCCTTGTCCAACAGTGGGTCAGTTACGCCGACACGGAGTTAATACCAGCTGCCTGTGGAGCAACGCTGCCGGCCCTGGGACTCCGAAGCTCGGCCCAGGACCCCCAGGTGAGGGGGTTGTACAGAAGAGGGGGAGGGGAGAAATTCAGAGGAGGGAAGCGAGGACTGGAATGGACAATGAGACAAGAAGGTAGTACATCAGATGTGGGAAAAGAGTGATCAAATCCCAGATTGCCAACTGGTATGGTAACCCTGGGCACGTTTCATAGACCCGCTGTGTCTTGGTCTTCCTATGTCTATGAACACGCAGGCAAGTTGATGTAATGCTTGCCTCACTGAGTTAATAGGATTAAAAGATGTGCGCAGAGCACATAGTTTAGTGCCAGGCACTTTTAAAGTCTCTTAGTAAAAGTTTGATGAGTCTGAAATTGATGAGGATAGAAGTTATTTGAATTGTAGGAAAAGACTGGGTGAGGGAGAGATGACAATTGCTGGGAGGAGATAAAAGAGAAATGAAATGAGGAAGGTAAGTGAGAGGAGAGATAACCCTGCCAGATTGTAACTATCAGTCCTTCCAAAGGAGACCTGTGCCTTGGTGTACTTTCAACTCTGCCTCCTTGCATGGTATTGAGCACATGATGGAAAATTAGTATTTCTTGAATGGATGAATGAATGTGGCAGACCCTGACTTGCTCCCTCATATTGTGATCACCCTATCTACAATAGAGTCCTTGCATTCAGAATGTCTGTCCAAACAAACAAATAAAATAGAGTCCCTCTCTTCTGGAATTCCCTGTTTGTTCCCCTCTTTTATTTCTTTTCTTTTCTTTTTTTTTTTTTTTTTTGAGACAGAATCTCCTTCTGTTGCCCAGGCTGGAGTGCCACGGTGCGATGGTGCGATCTCAGCTCACTGCTCAAGCGATTCTCCTGCCTCAGCCTTCTGAGTAGCTGGGATTACAGGCGCCCACCACCTTGTCCGGCTAATTTTTTGTATTTTTAGTAGAGATGGGGTTTTGTCATGTTGACCAGGCTGGTCTCGAACTCCTAACCTCAGATGGTCTGCTCGCCTCGGCCTCCCAAAGTGCTGAGATTATAGGTGTGAGCCACCACGCCTGGCCCCTGTTCCCCTCATTCTGCTTTATTTTTCTTCATAGGAGTTAAGAAAAATAGGGCACTTCATTTTATATTTGCTCATTTGTTGTTCCCCTACAAGAATGTTAACTCTACCAGGTCAGGGTTCTGTCCATCTGTTCGTGTTTTCCTCTCATTCCCTGGAGAAGTACTTAATACATATTTATTGATGTTCTGAACCTGGCAGTTATTGAGATGCCTCATATAATCTTTACTTCTATGCTTAACATATTGCATCTAACACATAAGTATTGAGTAGGGATTTGTTGGATGAGTCAGAAGTGTTTTGTTTTTTTTTTTCTGAGACGGAGTCTCGCTGTGTTGCCCAGGCTGGAGTGCAGTGGCGTGATCTCGGCTCACTGCAAGCTCCACCTCCTGGGTTCATGCCATTCTCCTGCCTCAGCCTCCCGAGTAGCTGGGACTACAGGCGCCCGCCACCACGCCTGGCTATTTTTTTTTTGTATTTTTAGTAGAGATGAGGTTTCACCATGTTAGCCAGGATGGTCTCGATCTCCTGACCTCGTGATCCGCCCAGAAGTATTTTTATTGTGACTATTTGAGTGAAGAAATGGGACTCAGAGGTGGTGATTTGTGAGAGTGGGGTGGAGGGAGGCCACATGGATTGGGTTGTGGTGGGAGATGGAGGTGGGCCAAACCTTGTCTCACACTTCTTCCCCTTCCTGCCAGGCTGTGCTGGGGGCCCTGGGCAGGGCCCTGAGCCCCTTGGAGGAGTGGCTTCGGCTGCACACCTACTTGGCCGGGGAGGCCCCCACTCTGGCTGACCTGGCGGCTGTCACAGCCTTGCTGCTGCCTTTCCGATACGTGAGTCACCAGGCCTGGGGAAGAACAAGACTGCTCTCCTCAGACCTCACTGTAGGGTGACTGAGAAGAGTCATTTATTTCCTGTTCCAGGTCCTAGACCCACCTGCCCGCCGGATCTGGAATAATGTGACTCGCTGGTTTGTCACGTGTGTCCGGCAGCCAGAATTCCGAGCCGTGCTAGGAGAAGTGGTTCTATACTCAGGAGCCAGGCCTCTCTCTCATCAGCCAGGTGAGGAAGGGCGAGGAGTTGGAGGATAGGGGCTTCCCTGGGGCCTTCCATGCAACTCACTTTCTTTTTTTCCTAGAAATGGCAGAATCACTGGGGCAGGGTCCTGCGGGAGAGGAGGGAGAGGGGGGAGGTCAGCATGGGCAAGACCTCGGGCATCTAAAATACCCCATCTGAAACCTAGTATGGCCGTCCAAGAGGGTCCCCAGCTGGCTGAGTCTGAATTTCTGCACCTCTCTCTAGGCCCCGAGGCTCCTGCCCTCCCAAAGACAGCTGCTCAGCTCAAGAAAGAGGCAAAGAAACGGGAGAAGCTAGAGAAATTCCAACAGAAGCAGAAGATCCAACAGCAGCAGCCACCTCCAGGGGAGGTGAGGCGAGGGTGGAGCTGGAAGGAAAGTTGATGTGTGCGGTGATGGGTTGGCTGATGCCTGGGCCTATGTCTTCTCCCTCCCAAGCAGAAGAAACCAAAACCAGAGAAGAGGGAGAAACGGGATCCTGGGGTCATTACCTATGACCTCCCAACCCCACCCGGGGAAAAGAAAGGTACTAGGAGTGGGAAGGGGCTCACCCCTCAGCAGCCCCTTCTAAGTTTTCACCCTATCTTGCTCTATTCTTGCTCTCACCACTTTGTTTGGTGAGGAATTGCAGACCCCCTGCCCTGCCTCTAGGCCCCTCAAATGCCTGTCCTATGATGTGAGTGACGGAGATCCCGATCCCTCTCTGCCAGCACGTCTCCTTCCCAGAGTGCTCCCAGCCACGGCACTGAGCCCTCCCTTCCTCTCCCCCAGATGTCAGTGGCCCCATGCCCGACTCCTACAGCCCTCGGTATGTGGAGGCTGCCTGGTACCCTTGGTGGGAGCAGCAGGGCTTCTTCAAGCCAGAGTATGGGGTGAGTAGGCACTGCTGCCCAGGCCCAGAGTGGGTGGGGTGGGGAAGGGCAGGACTGAAGGATGTGTTGCCTGGGAGGGGCTGGGAGAGGTGACCTGAGGCCTTAAACATGTGCCATCCTTCTCCACCATCAGCGTCCTAATGTGTCAGCAGCAAATCCCCGAGGTGTCTTCATGATGTGCATCCCACCCCCCAATGTGACAGGCTCCCTGCACCTGGGCCATGCACTCACCAACGCCATCCAGGACTCCCTGACTCGATGGTGAGCTTCTATCTGCACCTTCCTCTGGTTCCCTCTGCCTAGTCTGGCTCTCTCCTTTTCCCTGACAGCCCCCCGAGCCTCTCTCCTTCTGGGTTGGTGCTCACTTCTGCCCCCAGTGGTGCTACACTTCTCTCTGTCATTCCAATCTGATCATTTAGCTTCCTCTCCTAGTCCAGTACTCCCATGCAACACCGCCACTTGCAGACTCTCTTCTATCCCTTCTTTCTTTATTTAATTTTAATTTAATTTAATTTAATTTTTTGTAAAGATGAGTTTTCACTTTGTTGCTCAGTCTGGTCTCCAACTCCTGGCTCAAGTGATTCTCCTGTCTCAGACTCCCAGAGTGCTGGGATTATAGGTGTGAGGCACCACACCCAGTCTCTCCCTTCTTTTTCTAGTAACAATAACATTATTTTGAATTTAATTAGGAACATATGAATATATATATTTTTTTTTGGGGGGACAGAGTCTTGTTCTGTTGCCCAGGCCGGAGTGCAGTGACGCCATCTCGGCTCATGGCAACCGCTGCCTCCTGGGTTCAAGTGATTCTCCTGCCTCAGCCTCCCAAGTAGCTGGGATTACAGGAATGCGCCACCACAACTGACCAAAATATATGAATATATTCTTGTAAGAAATTTAAAGTTTCAAATCTCCTTGACCATCCCCCTCCACACCTACTTCCTCCTAAGATTTAGCCATTGTTATCACTTTGATGTGTATCTTCCCAGATCTTTCCTATTTACTTACATATACACGTACCCATAGAAATTTATAGTTCTCCTTTTGGGTGAGTCTTTTCTATTTTTTAACATAAAGGGTTCATATTACACTTGTTATGATCTAGCTTTCTTCTTACACTTAATACTTTCTCTTGGAGATCTTTCCTTGTCCTTACACACATACCACACATACTGACTTCCTTCTTTTTAATTGTTCCATAATATCTCATAGTGTGGCTGTACCATAGTGAAGTCATTCTTTTTTTTTTTTTTTTTTTTTTTTTTTTTGAGACAGAGTTTCACTCTTTTTGCTCAGGCTGGAGTACAGTGGCATGATCTCGGCTCACCGCAACCTCCACCTCCTAGGTTCAAGCGATTCTCTTGCCTCAGCCTCCCAAGTAGCTGGCATTACAGGCACCTGCCACCGCGCCTGGCTAATTTTTGTATTTTTAGTAGAGATGGGGTTTCACCATGTTGGCCAGGCTGGTCTCAAACTCCTGACCTCAGGTGATCTGCCTGCCTCGGCCTCCCAAAGTGCTGGGATTACAGGCGTGAGCCACTGCTCCCGGCCTGGAGTCACTTTTTAATTAATGATTCATTCTGTTTTTTGTTTTTTGTTTTTTTTCTGTTGAAAACCTTACTCTAATGCACATCCCTGTATATCAAGTTTGTCCAACCTGCAGCCTGTGGGCCACATGCGGCCCAGGACGGCTTTGAATGCAGCCTAACACAAATTTGTAAACTTTGTTTAAACATTTAAGAATTTTTTTGCGATTTTTTTTTTTTAGCTCATCAGCTATCGTTAGTGTTAGTGTATTTTTTTAAATTTATTTTTATTATTTATTTATTTATTTATTTTTTGAGACGGGTCTTGCACTGTCACCCAGGCTGGAGTGCAGTGGCACAGTCTCGGCTCACTGCAAGCTCCAAACTCCGCCTCCCACGTTAACGCCATTCTCCTGCCTCAGCCTCCCAAGTAGCTAGGACTACAGGTGCCCACCACCACGCCCGGCTAATTTTTTTTTTGTATTTTTAGTAGAGACGGGGTTTCACCATGTTAGCCAGGATGGTCTCGATCTCCTGACCTCGTGATCCGCCCGCCTCGGACTCCCAAAGTGCTGGGATTACAGGCGTGAGCCACTGCTCCCAGCCAGTGTTAGTGTATTTTATCTGTGGCCCAAGACAATTCTTCCATGTGGCCCAGGGAAGCCAAAAGATTGGATACCCCTGCTCTATATGCTTGCTGAAGCATGTGTGGAAGGGTTTCGCTGGTGTAGCTATCAAGAAGTGAAACTGCTAGGTCGGCAGGGGCACACCTATATTAAGTACAAACGGAAGCTGCCAAGTTGCCCTGCAGAATGGCTTTGCTGATTGATACCTCCAGGAATTGCTGTGAGAGTGTTCATTTCCCCACCCTTGCTAAGCCTGAGCATTAGGGTTGCCTAATTAGTTTTGCCAATCTGATGGGCAAAAAAATACCTCTGTTGTTTTACTTTGTACCTTTCTGATTGCTATTGAAGTTGTGCCTATTTTCATGTTTTTTGGCCAGTCAGGTTTACCCATATGTGAATTGTCTGTATCTATCTTTTCCCCGTTTTTCTATTGATTCTTCGTTCTTTTTCTTTTTAATTTTTTTTTTGAGAATTCTTTACCTGTTCTGGGTATCAATTTTTTTGTTAAATATTGTAAATGTTTTTGTTGTATTATTGTGTGGTAGTTTTCCTGTTAATTGTAAATGTTTCTCCTGTTTTCTGTTACTATTTGTTTTCACTGTTAATATTTTAATTAGTGATAAATACAAAGTAATATTCTAGGTGACAAATCTTTTTAAAAAGTATTTTAAAATAACTTTACCATTTTTGGAAACCAGGGTTTATTATATTTAAATTTTGAGAATTTTTTCTGGTGTCTTATGTACTAAATTAATGTGGTCAAAAAATATTTACTGGGCCCAACTATGTGCCACCTCTGCTCTGAGCACTGGGAATATAATGTTTGATTGTGCATTTTGCAAGTAACTGAGAGCTAGGAAAACAGTTATATGTTTTATTTTTTTATTTTTATTATTATTATTATTATTTTGAGACAGAGTCTCTCTCTGTCGCCCAGGCTGGAGTGCGGTGGCGCAATCTTGGCTCACTGCAAGCTCTGCTTCCCAGGTTCACAGCATACTCCTGCCTCAGCCTCCTGAGTAGCTGGGACTACAGGCGCCCGCCACCACGCCTGGCTAATTTTTTGTATTTTTTTTAGTAGAGACAGGGTTTCACCCTGTCGGCCAGGATGGTCTCGATCTCTTGACCTCATGATCTGCTCACCTCGGCCTCCCAAAGTGCTGGGATTACAGGCGTGACCCACCGCGCCTGGCCTGTTTTTTTTTTTGTTTTTTTTGTTTTTTTGAGACAGAGTCTCTCTCGGTTTCCCAGGCTGGAGTGCAGTGATGCGCGCTTACTGCAACCTCTGCCTCCTGAGCTCAAGCGATTCTCCTGCCTCAGCCTTCTGAGTAGCTGGGATTACAGGCGCATGCCACCACACCTGGCTAATTTTTGTATTTTTAGTAGAGACGGGGTTTCACCATGTTGGTCAGGCTTGTTTCGAGCTCCTGACCTTGTGATCCTCCCGCTTCGGTCTCCCAAAGTGCTAGGATGACAGGCATGAGCCACTTCGTCCAGCCAACAGTTCTGTTAAATACACATAACATACAATGGCCAAGTTGTTTGCGTTTGTGTTTGCGTTTTTGTTTTTTCAATTTTTCAATTTTTTTTTTTTCTTTGGAAATGGGGTCTTGCTCTGTCACCCAGGCTGGAGTGCAGTGGCGCAGTCTCTGCTCACTGCAAGCTCCTCCTCCCAGGTTCACACCATTCTCCTGCCTCAGCCTCCTGAGTAGCTGGGACTATAGGAGCCCACCACCACGCCTGGCTAATTTTTTTTGTATTTTTAGTAGAGACGGGGTTTCACCGTGTTAGCCAAGATGGTCTCGATCTCCTGACCTCGTGATTCGCGTACCTCGGCGTCCCAAAGTGCTGGGATTATAGGCGTGAGCCACCACGCCCGGCCCTGTTTTTCAATTTTTTAATAAAATCAAGAGAGGGTCTCGCTATGTTGCCCAGGCTGGTCTTGAACTTCTGGGCTCAAGCAATCCTCCTGCCTCAGTCTCCCAAAGTGCTGGGACTACAGGCATGAACCACCATACCTGGCCTCCAAGTTTGTTTACATGAAAACAGAATGACTACTTTTTTTTTTTTAATTGAGACAGAGTCTCGCTCTGTCGCCCAGGCTGGAGTGCAGTGACGCGATCTCGTCTCACTGCAACCTCAACCACTTGGGTTCAAGCGATTCTTGTGTCTCAGTCTCCTGAGTAGCTGGGACTACAGGCACGCACCACCACGCCCAGCTAATTCTTTTGCATTTTTAGTAGACAGAGTTTTGCCATGTTGGCCAAGCTGGTCTTGAACTCCTAACCTGAAGTAAGCCGCCTGCCTCGGCCTCCCAAAGTGCTGGGATTACAGGTGTGAGCCACTGTGCCTGGCCACATACTTCTTATAAAACTCTTAAGGTAGCCACATTTTTTTTCCAGTGAACGTGGTTTAAATAAAATGTGAGACACTCCCATTACTTTAATGGAATAGAGTTATATCAACTTTTTATTTTTATTTATTTGTTTATTTATTTATTTTTGAGACAGAGTCTCTCTCACTGTGTTGGCCAGATTGGAGTGCATCGGCATGATCACAGCACAATCATAGCTTGGTGCAGCCTCAACCTCAGCCACCCAAGTAGCTGGGAACAAAGGTGCACGCCACCATGCCTGGCTTTTTTTTTTTTTTTTTTGCAGAGACTAGGTCTCACTATGTTGCCCAGGCTAGTCTGCAACTCCTGGGCTCAAGCAGTCCTCTCACCTTGGCCTCCCAAAGTGTTGGGGTTATAGGCTTGAGCCACTGTGCCTGGCTTGAATTCTTTAATCTATCTAAAGTTTCTTTTTGTGACTATTGGTAAGGGGGAGATTTTTTCCAAATAATTAGCTAGTTGTTTCAAACATTTTGAATAGTTTATCCTTATTTTACTGATAGGAAGTGCCAACTTTCACAAACACTAAATTTGCTTGTATCTGTTTCCAGGTACTATTTTGTTCCTGTTTAGTAACTTATTTTAACAATTAGAACTTTTGCTATCCTGTTTGGCAGGAGCCTCCTCTTCGTTCTTTTTTTTTTTTTTTTTTTTTTTTTTTGAGACAGAGTCTCACTCTGTCATCCGGGCTGGAGTGCAGTGGCACAATTTCAACTCACTGCAACCTCCCCCTCCCAGCTTCAAGCGATTCTCGTGCTTCAGCCTCCCAAGTAGCTGGGATTACAGGTATGCACCACCATCCTGGCTAATTTTTATATTTTTGGTAGAGACAGGGTCTTGCCATGTTGGTCAGGCTGGTCTCGAACTCCTGTCCTCAAGTGATCCACTCGCCTTGGCCTCCCAAAGTCCTGGGGTTACAGGTGTGAGCCACCACGCATGCCTGTCTTTGTTCTTTTTCCATATTGCCTTGGCTCTTCCTTCAAATCTTTTCTCCTTGACTAGCTTTAGAATCACAAGGGTTCCAGCTCCACCCCTGCTTCTTTCTTTTTTTTTTTGTTTGTTTTTTGGAGACGGAGTCTCACTCTGTCACCCAGGCTGGAGTGCAATGGCATGATCCCAGCTTGCTGCAACCTCTGCTTCCCGGGTTCAAGCAATTCTCCTGCCTCAGCCTTCCAAGTAGCTGGGATTACAGGCACATGCCACCACGCCCAGCTAATTTTGTATTTTTAATACAGACAGGGTTTTACCATATTGGCCAGGCTTATCTTGAAGTCCCCACCTCAGGTGATCCACCCACCTCGGCTTCCCAAAGTGCTGGGATTACAGGCGCATGCCACCATGCCCAGCTAATTTTGTATTTTTAGTAGAGACGGGGTTTTACCATGTTGGCCAGGCTCATCTCGAACTCCCCCACCTGAGGTGATCCACCCACCTCAGCCTCCCAAAGTTCTGGGATTACAGGCGTGAGCCACCGCGTCCGGCCTCCCTGCTTCTTTATTTAGTCCACTGACTCCTTGCCTGAAGCCTCTGCTTTCTTTGGTGCCAGGCCCCACTGGCCTGGCTCACCCTCTGGTCCTCCATGCCCCCTAACAGGCACCGCATGCGTGGGGAGACCACCCTGTGGAACCCTGGCTGTGACCATGCAGGTATTGCCACCCAGGTGGTGGTGGAGAAGAAGCTATGGCGTGAGCAGGGACTGAGCCGGCACCAGCTGGGCCGCGAGGCCTTTCTACAGGAAGTCTGGAAGTGGAAGGAGGAGTGAGTATGCAGCATCCCTGTGGGCATCGCAGCCCTGCCTCCCTGTCCCCTATCCAGAAGACCTCTGTCACCTGTAACCCCTTGGCCACAGGGTCAGACCCTCCCACAGAGGCAGAGTCAGTTGGCTCTAGGGCCCAGGTAAATTTCAGGGGGATGGGTGATCTCCACACTGCCCAGTCAGCCACCTGATGTCTCCCTCTAGCCCAGGCACGAGTGCTGACCTCAGCCTGTCTGCTTCCAGGAAAGGTGACCGGATTTACCACCAGTTGAAGAAGCTTGGCAGCTCCTTGGACTGGGATCGAGCCTGTTTCACCATGGACCCTGTGCGTGGGAGGAGTGTCAAAGCTGGGGCAGGAGTAGGAGTCTCCCCAGGGTGGGACCCCCACAGGAGAAAGCAGAGGTGTTGTGGCCCTCTCTCAGGAGCTGGCCCATGTAAAACACCATGGAGGGCTCAGCTGCAAATGCCACTTCCCACCCCTCGCCATGGCCCTTTCCATATCATGGCCCTTCATGTTCCCTGTCTTGGCTCTGGGAGCTCCAGATTCCTCCAGATGGCACATGATCAGGACCCCGTCTCCCATGGAGCCTGAACTCCCAGTGTCCTCTGCACCAGTACTTGTCCCCAGCTGATTGTCTTCCTCGCCATCTGCAGCATTACAAGGCTTGTTGCCTGCTCTTGTGTTCCCTTAGTCCTCTCTCCCCCTCAAGGAAAGAAGGAAAGTACTCCCCTCAGAGGGGTCTTTGTGCTGGCCAGTGGGACTCTGTATGGGCAAGGCCTCACTGGAGCCCTGGGTGTCTGCCTGGGCCTCCAGGCACAAGGCCCATCTCTCTGACTTCTCCCTCCTCCACCCCAGAAACTCTCAGCAGCTGTGACAGAGGCCTTTGTCCGGCTTCACGAGGAAGGCATCATCTATCGCAGTACCCGCCTTGTTAACTGGTCCTGCACCCTCAACTCCGCCATCTCTGACATTGAGGTGCGCCCCCCAACCTGGCCTGTCTCCATCTCCAATCTACCCTGGCCCTGGCCCTGGCCCCTGGGCCACGCCTCTAAATACCCATTTTACAGGTGGATAAGAAGGAGCTGACAGGTCGCACCCTGCTCTCCGTGCCTGGCTACAAGGAGAAGGTGGAGTTCGGGGTCCTCGTGTCCTTTGCCTATAAGGTCCAAGGCTCAGGTAGGAGCCAGGGGCACCAGGATCCTGGGCTGGGAGTGGCAGGAAGGGGCCAAGGCCAAGACCACAAGGCCTTCTGTCACCCCAGATAGCGACGAGGAGGTGGTGGTGGCAACAACTCGGATCGAGACAATGCTGGGAGATGTGGCTGTAGCTGTGCACCCCAAAGATACCAGATACCAGGTGGGGGACTGTCCACAGTTAGGGAAGGAGTTCTGGCCAAAAAGGGCTCCCATCCTTATGGGGTGGAGGGGTTGGACTTAGGCCCCTGGCTGAGGAGAGGAAACTGGGTTAGAAACTGGTCTTCAGCTTCTTTCCCAGCTCTGAGGGTAGAGCTATTGGGGACTGTTTGGGGGAGTTCAAGTGTTGGGATAGTCAGGGCCCTGGAAAGGAAGGACTTGGGCCCAGCCCTTCGTGCATTTTTAAAAAGTTAAATAGCCAGGCACGGTGGCTCATGCCTGTAATCCCAGCGCTTTGGGAGGCTGAGGCAGGTGAATCATAAGGTCACGAGTTCGAGACTAGCCTGGCCAACATAGTGAAACCCCATCTCTACTAAAAATACAAAAAATTAGCCAGTTGTAGTGGCGGGTGCCTGTAATCTCAGCTACTCAGGAGGCTGAGGCAGGAGAATCGCTTGAACCTGGGATGCGGAGGTTGCAGTGAGCTGAGATCACTCTGCTGCACTCCAGCCTTGGTGACAGAGCGAGACTCCGTCTCAAAAAAAAAAAAAAAGTTAAATAGAGACAAGGTCTCACTCTGTTAACCATGCTGATCTTGAACTCCTGGCCTCAAGGAAGCCTCCTGCCCCAGCCTCCCAAAGTGTGGGGGTTAGAGATGTGAGCCATGGCACCAGGCCCCTTCATGCTTTTATTTATTTATTTATTTTTGAGAGAGGGTCTCACTCTATCGCCCAGGCTAGAGTGCAGTGGCACCATCTTGGCTCACTGCAACCTCCACCTCCCGGGTTCAAGCAGTACTTGTGCCTCAGCCTCTTGAGTAGCTGAGATTACAGGCACGCGTCACCACACCTGGCTAATTTTTTTTTTGTATTTTTAGTAGAGACTAGGTTTCCCCATGTTGGCCAGGCTGGTCTCCAACTCCCAGCCTCAAGTGATCTGCCCACCTCAGCCTCCCAAAGTTCTGGGATTACAGGTGGGAATCACGGCGTCTGGCCCTGCTTCATGCGTTTTTGGTATCTTTCCGCCCCCAGCACCTGAAGGGGAAGAACGTGATCCACCCATTCCTGTCTCGGAGCCTTCCCATTGTCTTCGATGAATTTGTGGACATGGACTTTGGCACAGGTGGGCAAGGGGCTGGTCCTGTGGGGAGAGGAAAAGACTGGAGCTGCACCCTAGCTGTCCATCTTCTCTCAGAGAAAAAGAAAATAAGCTTCAGCCAAATAGACAGAGCTTGGGGTGGTTCTCAAGGGACTGTATTAGACAAGTGGGGGCCAGGAGTGGTCTCGGAGCTACATCCTTCAGCAAAAGAGGTGAGTGTAGGAAGGAACTCCGTGGAGTCCCTCATGACCTGGGCATCCTGATGTACACCCAGGTGCTGTGAAGATCACCCCCGCACATGACCAAAATGACTATGAAGTTGGGCAGCGGCACGGGCTGGAGGCCATCAGCATCATGGACTCCCGGGGGGCCCTCATCAATGTGCCTCCGCCTTTCCTGGTGAGGCTGCCTGAGGCAAGAGTGCCCGGGTCAGGGAGATGGAGGGATGGCTGGGCATCGCCATGATGAGGCCTCATTCCTACCCAGGGCCTGCCCAGGTTTGAGGCCAGGAAAGCGGTGCTGGTGGCGCTGAAGGAGCGGGGACTGTTCCGTGGCATTGAGGACAACCCCATGGTGGTGCCACTTTGCAAGTGAGGGTGGGGGCCTGGGACGGGAGGAAGATGGAGGGCTCCTCAGGGTTTTACCGCCTGGCCTTCTCACCTACGTGTACCCCCAGCCGGTCGAAGGACGTGGTAGAGCCTCTGCTGCGGCCGCAGTGGTACGTTCGCTGCGGGGAGATGGCCCAGGCTGCCAGCGCCGCTGTGACTCGGGGTGACCTCCGCATCCTGCCTGAGGCCCATCAGCGCACATGGCATGCCTGGATGGACAACATCCGGTGTGTAGGGTCCTCAGTGTGGGAGGGGCTTGCCGAGGGCTGAGCAGGGCTCACTCGGGCCAGGCTCCATCAGGCCCTCCCTGATTTCTCCTCCCCGACATTTGCAGGGAGTGGTGCATTTCCAGGCAGCTGTGGTGGGGCCATCGCATCCCAGCCTACTTTGTCACTGTCAGTGACCCAGCGGTGCCCCCTGGGGAGGTGAGCAGAGGGCCAGAGCTAGCTGCTGGGACACCCTGCTGGAGTGGTGGGTTTACTGGGTCCTTGGTGGGGGGAGGGGCAGGGTGAGCCAGAAGCAGACACACCCCCTTGGGTAATCACTGCACCTGTGGCAGGACCCTGATGGGCGGTACTGGGTGAGTGGACGCAATGAGGCGGAGGCCCGGGAGAAGGCAGCCAAGGAGTTCGGAGTGTCCCCTGACAAGATCAGTCTCCAGCAAGGCAAGGCGGGGCTTTGAGGGTCTGGAGGGAGTTGTGGGGGGCAGAGCTCCACTCCCTCTGACCTCTGACCTTTGGCCTCTCTCAGATGAGGATGTATTGGATACCTGGTTCTCCTCTGGCCTCTTCCCCTTATCCATTTTGGGCTGGCCCAACCAGGTGTGTTCCTGGGGCCGGGGCTTGGCGGGACAGGGGACTGGAGGGTGGGTGTTGGCTCCCCTTCACACCCTGGTCTGCCCTCAGTCAGAAGACCTGAGTGTGTTCTACCCCGGGACACTGCTGGAGACCGGTCATGACATCCTCTTCTTCTGGGTGGCCCGGATGGTCATGCTGGGCCTGAAGCTCACGGGCAGGCTGCCCTTTAGAGAGGTGCGGAGACAGCCGAGACCCTCCCATCGCCCCCAGCCTCCTCTCCTACCGTCCTGTGCTGCAGCGCAGACCCCGCGTGGCTGGGGCATGGGGTTAGCTGTGGGCAGGCCTGACCCGGGGGCTGGTGTGGGGTTGAAATCCAGCCTGGGCCCTGCTCAGTGATTCCTGTGCCCAGGGCTTCATCTTCCCAGAGGAAGGAGTGCTTCTGATTCACATAAAGGCGCTCAACGAGCTCTTGGGGACACTCAGTGGGACCTGAGGTTCACAGTGGGGTAGACCAGACACAGTCCTGGTCGGGGCACTGAGGCCGGGGAAGGAGAGGACTGAGTCTCATGGGCCTCCCCACCTGCTCTGCAGGTCTACCTCCATGCCATCGTGCGAGATGCTCACGGCCGGAAGATGAGCAAGTCTCTAGGCAATGTCATCGATCCCCTGGACGTCATCTATGGAATCTCCCTGCAGGTGGGCTGGGTGCTGGGCCAGCCAGGAAGGGCCGTGGGGCTGTGGTCACAGCCACCTGACTGCTCCCACTCCACCCTCAGGGCCTCCACAACCAGCTGCTGAACAGCAACCTGGATCCCAGCGAGGTGGAGAAGGCCAAAGAAGGGCAGGTATGGAGGGTTGGGCTGGGCTAAGCAGGAGCACAGCGTGGATGGGGCTGGCTGAGGACGCTCCTCCCCCTGCCTCTTCCCTGTAGAAAGCTGACTTCCCAGCGGGGATTCCTGAATGTGGCACCGATGCTCTCCGGTTTGGATTATGTGCCTACATGTCCCAGGGTATGGCCCCCAAAGCGTCCCTCCCAGCCACTCCTTCCTCCTTCTGTGAGGCCCATCCCTCTTCTCCACCCTGAGCCTCTGGTGGGCATGGGCTGGGAAGAGGGTGATGAGGACTCACATCTCACCCCCGACCCAGGTCGTGACATCAACCTGGATGTGAACCGGATACTGGGTTACCGCCACTTCTGCAACAAGCTCTGGAATGCCACCAAGTTTGCCCTTCGTGGCCTTGGGAAGGGTTTTGTGCCCTCACCCACCTCCCAGGTAAGGGCCTGGTGGGCAGCAAAGCTGGCAGCACTCACACAGGCTGTACCCCTGTCCGGAGCAGCCTCCATGTAGCTGGGGGGACAGATAGACACAGAGACAGACAGTTAAAGGGAAAGCCCAGCGCATTGGGGGCTGGGGCCTGTCACTTCTTCCCAGATCCTGGCACATAGGTGGTTGCTTTGGACTCATCAGACTCTGGATGAAGATTTGCCCATGACTCCTGCCCCCATGGGGTTCTGGCACCCTCCCCTGGCCCGCCGGCTGATACACCCTCTCTCCCCAAGCCCGGAGGCCATGAGAGCCTGGTGGACCGCTGGATCCGCAGCCGCCTGACAGAGGCTGTGAGGCTCAGCAATCAAGGCTTCCAGGCCTACGACTTCCCGGCCGTCACCACTGCCCAGTACAGCTTCTGGCTCTATGAGCTCTGTGATGTCTACTTGGTGAGAAGGAGCACAGCGGGGCAGGGGATGGTGGGGGCAGGTGGGCAGCAGAGCCCTGGGCTCAGTTTTGCCAGAGTTGGCCTTGAGACCTAAGCCAACCCATCCCCTTCCCAGTCCTCACAGGCACAGCGAGGGCTCAAGGCTAGACCTCCAGCCGTGAGCCCTGTACCTCTCGTCCCCTAGGAGTGCCTGAAACCTGTACTGAATGGGGTGGACCAGGTGGCAGCTGAGTGTGCCCGCCAGACCCTGTACACTTGCCTGGACGTTGGCCTGCGGCTGCTCTCACCCTTCATGCCCTTCGTGACGGAGGAGCTGTTCCAGAGGCTGCCCCGGAGGATGCCGCAAGCTCCCCCTAGCCTCTGTGTTACCCCCTACCCGGAGCCCTCAGAGGTATGGCATGGCCTGGAGAGGGGAGTCTGACCTGCCCTCCAGGCCCCCTCACCCCCTCCTCCACCCCACAGTGCTCCTGGAAGGACCCCGAGGCAGAAGCCGCCCTTGAGCTGGCGCTAAGCATCACGCGAGCCGTGCGCTCCCTGCGGGCCGACTACAACCTCACCCGGATCCGGCCTGACTGTGAGCCTCAGGCCCCCATGTCCGCCCCATCCCACTGTCCCCTCAGCCTACTCTGGGACCCAGTGTCCGGCAGTGACTGCTTGGTTTCCTGTCTCCATGGAGCTAGGCCTCACCTTTCTCCCTCCCTGGCAGGTTTCCTGGAAGTGGCGGATGAGGCCACGGGCGCCCTGGCATCGGCGGTGTCGGGCTACGTGCAGGCCCTGGCCAGCGCAGGTGTGGTGGCTGTTCTGGCCCTGGGGGCTCCCGCCCCCCAGGGTTGCGCTGTGGCTCTGGCTTCTGATCGCTGCTCCATCCACCTGCAGCTTCAGGGGCTGGTGGACCCTGCACGGGAGCTGGGCAAGCTGCAAGCCAAGCGAGTTGAGGCCCAGCGGCAGGCCCAGCGTCTGCGGGAACGCCGTGCTGCCTCGGGCTATCCTGTCAAGGTGCCGCTCGAAGTCCAGGAGGCAGATGAAGCCAAGGTGTGTGGCCTGGGTGGGCATTTCCCACACCATCCCCTTCCTCCATCAAAACCCTGGTCTGGGCTGGTCCGAGTGCAGTGGTGTTGACAACTAATTGATCGTAACCAGTTACAGATTTCTTTGTTCCTTCTCCACTCCCACTAGCCTTAAAAAACAAAACAGCCTGGCTCAGTGGCTCACACCTGTAATCCCAGAAATTTGGGAGGCCAAGGTGGGTGGATCACTTGAGCCCAGGGGTTTGAGACCAGCCAACATGGTGAAATCCCATCTCTACAACAAAAATACAAAAATTAGCTGGCCATAGTGGCACACACTTGGGGTCCCAGCTACTCGGGGGGCTGAGGTGGGCGGATTGCTTGAGCCTGGGAGGTCAAGACTGCAGTGAGCCGAGATCATGCCACTGCACTTGAGCCTGGGCAACAGAGAGAAGACCCTGTCTGGAAAAAAAACAAAACAAAACAAAAACCAATCCTGGTCTGGAAGCTGGACTCTGTACCCAACCCTGGGGAATCCACTGGGGAGCATGGAGCCCAGGCGCTTTGAGCAGGGACCATAGAAGGCCCTCCCCTTACACATGGGGAGCAGCTGGGGGCTGGGCACAACCCAGGGTCACACAACAGGTGGGAGACGGAGGCTGACCTAGAACCAGGCATCCTATCTCCCAGCCAGACCCTTCGTACCCCACCCAGCTGCCCAAAATGTGGAAACCTGCATGCCTGGGGCTGGGCTTGGGGTCCACATGTAGTCGGGGAGCCCTGGGCCTCCCACCACTTACTTTCAAGCCTACTGGGCTGACCCTGGAAGGCCAGTCTTGTTTGTCCCCTGCCTCCTGGGTTCCGCCAGAGAGAAGCAGTGGAGTAAACTGCACAGACACAGAGAAAACCAGTCATGGAGGCCAAGAGCTAGAGAGCCTTGAGTGGACGTGGTTAATCTCACTTGGTTCTCCCAAGAGCCCTGGGAGGGGGGCAATATCATCATCATCATCTGACAAATGAAGTGACCGGCCTGGGAGACTGTGCTCTCCTGCTTAGGTGGGGACACTGAATGGGGAACACGTAGGCTCTGAGGTTCCTTTGTTCTTGGGGACTCACCACTTGGTGGAAAAAGGCAAGACCCAAGAGGTGGTGGTGGAAGTGGGGGTGCTGGTGGGAATGGGTGGGGAGCCAGGCCAGCCAGGTTCACGCCTCCTCTGAGCTACTGACCTCCCATGGTCCTCGCTCATCTTTCCAACTTTGTTGTCCTGGGTGTTTGGGGGTCTCTTCACTTGGACCTGGGTCCTCACCCACCCCCTGGTTCCACTCCAGCTCCAACAGACAGAAGCAGAGCTCAGGAAGGTGGATGAGGCCATCGCCCTATTCCAGAAGATGCTGTGATCCACCACCCAGCTTCACCCCTCACCCCCAGCGGCTCACCATGGGGATGGCAGCAATAAAATATTTTCCCACAAAATCCTCTTGTCGTCTGTGGTGGGGGCAGAGAGGGGAGCAGAGGGGCTGGGTGCCTGAATCCTTGGGGGCTGCAGGGTGGGAGTGAGGCCCTGGTTCTGGAGGGCAGAGGGGTGCGTCTATCTGGGTCTGTCCCTGGCACTGTGCCAGGCCTGAGTCACGCTGCTTACTCCCTTCCTCCTCCCCAGCTCTCACTCACCTCCGCACTGCAGCCAAGGGAGGCCCGCCCTGGCGTGGGCTGCTGCCTGTGGCTTTGGGCAGGCAGGAGCGAAAGGGCCAGGGGTTGCCTGTCCTCCCCCACCCTGTTGAGGCCTTCCTCCCCCTCTGCTGAGCCTCGGTTAATTATAACTCTGACCTAAGTGCCCTGTGACGTCAAGCCCGGGCCAGCCCTGCCCAGGAGACCCAGCAACCAGGTAGGGGAGGGCCTGAGAGGACTCAGGCTTCCTGAGCATGGGGAGTGTTTCTGCGGCAGGGCTGGGGACGCAGCCAGGGACTGGGGAGGGGGGCGTGGGGGAGGAACCTTGGACCCCTCTCCTGGCAGGTGTGTATGTCCCTAATGGTCCGATGAGGCCCTCAGGTTGTCTGGGTGACAGCGAGAGGGTGGGGAAGCCAGGCTGGAGCAGACACGACTTTTGAGGTAAAGCAGGTTCCCATGGAGACCCGCAGAGCCGGCCTGCCCTGGAATCGCGGCTGCTTCCTCCTCCCTTGAGAGCCTTCTGTCTCCCAGGTCCATGTCTCAGCCATGCTCCCCACGGAGGTCCCCCAATCCCACCCGGGCCCCTCAGCGTTGCTTCTGCTGCAGCTGTTGCTGCCCCCCACATCTGCCTTCTTCCCCAACATCTGGAGCCTGCTGGCTGCCCCTGGCTCCATCACCCACCAAGACCTAACTGAGGAGGCAGCGCTCAACGTCACCCTGCAGCTCTTCCTGGAGCAGCCACCCCCAGGCCGCCCCCCTCTTCGTCTTGAGGACTTCCTGGTGAGCATCCCAGGGTCCTGTCACACCCCTGCCAGAGTCCCCAATTCCATGGGGCCTCTACTCCTTGAGGGCTCTGGTTGCCAAGAGAAGAGACACCCATGGCCCCACCCCTGCAGCAATAATACCCAGTAGTCTTGGTCCTGAAATTAGGAGTCCCCCTCCTTAGAAAGGTCCGGGACTGTCCCTCCTTTGTGGGGCTCAGGACCCTCATACCCAGCCTTGAGTGTCAGTTGCTGAGATAAGGTGGGCAACAGTCAATCCAAAGGGCCTCCCTGGAGCCCCGTCGCCCGCTATTCTCCCCAGGGTCGAACACTCCTTGCTGATGACCTCTTTGCCGCCTACTTTGGACCTGGTTCTTCTCGGCGGTTCCGAGCAGCCTTAGGTGAGGTGTCTCGTGCCAATGCAGCCCAGGACTTCCTGCCAACTTCCAGGAATGACCCCGACCTGCACTTTGATGCTGAGCGACTGGGTCAGGGACGCGCGCGCCTGGTAGGGGCTCTGCGGGAGACCGTGGTGGCAGCCAGGGCCCTTGACCACACCCTGGCTCGCCAGCGCCTCGGGGCTGCACTTCATGCCCTGCAGGTGAGAACAGGGTTGGGTTGATGGTCAGAGGGGTCTTCACTTCCGTGCCTGTCCGGGATGGAGCGCGTCCTATGGTGCCTTCTTGATCATGTCTCCTCCACTCTGGAAGGGGTGGGCACTGGCACGCGGTGCCCCGAGGCTGTGTCCCAGTTCCCCACCTCCAAGCTGGCAGTGCTTCCTGTAGGAACAGCAAGGAGGGCGCTGTGGCTGGAGAGAAGTGAGGGTGAGAGAGGAAGGCTGCGAGGTCAGAGAGCTGAGGGAGCAGCACACGCAGCAGGACTCTGCAGGCCGAGAGAGGCCTTGGGTTAGACTCTGAGCTGGGAAGAGATGCTGGGACAGTTTCCACCTGGGCAAAGCTCTGCTCTGAGCAATGGAGAGAGGGCAGTGGAGGGGACTTGGGGTGTCTGGTGGGAGCAGTAGGGGTGGGAGGGGACTTTCGGGATGGGGAACTCAAAGGAGTGGCATATTAGTGCTGGAGATGGTGAGAAAGGCCAGACTAGTGCCTCACTCCCCTTCTCCTGTCCTCCGGACCAGGATTTCTACAGTCATAGCAACTGGGTGGAGCTGGGCGAGCAGCAGCCACACCCTCACCTCCTCTGGCCAAGGCAGGAGCTCCAGAACCTGGCACAAGGTATGGCTGTGACCCTGGTGGTGAGGCAGGAGTCCACAGGGCCACCTCAGTCCACCCAGCCACTGTGTCACATTCTGAAGTCCCAGAGGGTATGATGTTACTTAATCTCCACAAGGACTGAGGTCCCCCAGTCCAAGCAACGCCTGGCTCAGTTAAGCAGCTTCCCCAAGGTCACACAGGGAAAAGTAGCTAGGACCAGGTCTCCAGACCTCAGTCCCGTCTTAAGTGTGGCTTCCTCCCCGCACTGACTCCCATGGGGCCTTCTCTCACAGCCCCCTCACCCTCTCACCTGGAAGCTGCCTCCTGTCCACAACTCACAGAGGGCATAATCCCCATAGGATTGGTCCCTACACGTACTGTGTTTGTTTTTTTCTTATTATTTATTTATGTATTTATTTTTTAGAGATGAGGTCTCACTGTGTGGCGCAGGCTGCTCTGCCCGCCTTAGCCTCCTAAAGTGCTGGGATTACAGTCGTGAGCCACCGCACCCAGCCTGTGCTGTGTTTTCCAGCACAGCCCTAGTTTCAAACATTCAGGCTCACTGCGGGCCCATGATCCTAGGTTTTAGTTCAGAAAGCTTTGCTAGGGAACTTCTGGGTGTTCGCCTCATCCCAGCTGGGAGGAGAAGCTGAAAAGGTTTGGGTGGGTGGGGATAAAGGCTGGGGGTGGCAGAATCTTGGGTTCTAGCCCTGCCCTCTCTTCCCAGTGGCCGATCCTACCTGCTCCGATTGCGAGGAGTTGAGCTGCCCCAGGAATTGGCTGGGCTTCACACTCCTCACCTCTGGCTACTTTGGAACTCATCCCCCGAAACCTCCAGGTACCAGACAAGAAAGTTCCCCAGAAGTAAGGGGAGAAAGTCATTCCCTTACAGGATCTCTGTCCTGTAGGCCCGTATGCCTTTGCTATGGCATCTCCTCCTAGGAGGAGAGGATGCTGGGAACAGGGTGGGTGGAGGAAAGTCCCCTGAGGAGGCTGTGGTGGGGTTGAGGTAGGGGAGCAACTTCTTCCTCCGCTGATAGGATTTCTCCCTTGTCATAGGCAGTTTTGGGGGACTGGCTGGAGGGATCAGGGGATCCACCATGTGCTGTGGTGACTGACCACCACGCCCTAAGATTTACTCCAGAATTCCCCTCCACAAAGCACCATCCTTTTTATCCTTTTTTTTTTTTTTTTTTTTTGAGATGGAGTTTTGTTCTTTTTGCCCAGGCTGGAGTACAGTGGCACGATCTCGGCTCACTGCAACCTCCGCCTCCCAGGTTCAAGCGATTCTCCTGCCTCAGCCTCCCGAGTAGCTGGGATTACGGGCATGTGCCACCACGCCCGGCTAATTTTGTACTTTTAGTAGAGACAGGGTTTCATCATGTTGGCCAGGCTTGTCTCAAACTCCTGACTTCAGGTGATCCACCCACCTCAGCCTCCCAAAATGCTGGGATTACTGGTGTGAGCCACCGTGCCCAGCCATCATTTATTTATTTATTTATTTTTTGAGACCGAGTCTTGCTCTGCCACCCAGGCTGGAGTGCAGTGGCGTGATCTCGGTTCACTGCAACCTCCGCCTCTTGGGATCAAGCTATTTTCCTTCCTCAGCCTCCTAAGTAGCTGGGATTACAAGCACGCGCCACCACACCTGGCTAATTTTTATAGTTTTAGTAGAAACAGAGCTTCACCATGTTGGCCAGGCTGGTCTTGAACTCCTGATCTCAGATGATCTGCCGGCCTCGGCCTCCCAAAGCGCTGGGATTCCAGGCGTGAGCCACCGCGCCAACCCCGTCATCATTTCTTGCTGAACCCTTGCTGAGGGGTGAGAGGGTCAGGCCAGGCCTGAAAGGGCCTCATTTTCTTAGGAGGCAGTGGGTTTTTGACCTCCACTCTCCAGATCCCTTTCCCCAACCCAGGGAAATGTAGCCACGGGGGCCATTTTGACCGGAGCAGCTCCCAGCCACCGAGGGGAGGCATCAACAAGGACAGCACATCCCCAGGCTTCTCCCCTCACCACATGCTGCACCTCCAGGCTGCAAAACTGGCCCTTCTAGCCTCCATCCAGGCCTTCAGCCTTCTGCGAAGCCGCCTGGGAGACAGGGATTTCTCCAGGTGAGTGGCCTCCTGGGGATGGACCCCTTCATGGGGAGGCGCTCCTGCGGGAAGGGAGAAACCAGGCGCTGGGGACAAACGTGCAGGCCCTTCACTGTGTCTCTGGCTTGCTCCCCAGGCTGCTGGACATCACCCCAGCCTCCAGCCTGAGCTTTGTCCTGGACACCACGGGCAGCATGGGTGAGGAGATCAACGCTGCCAAAATCCAGGCTCGCCACCTTGTGGAGCAGCGGAGAGGCAGCCCCATGGAGCCTGTCCACTATGTCCTGGTGCCTTTTCATGACCCAGGTAAGTGTGGTCTGGCTAGGACAGTAGAGGGGAGGAAAATTCAAGGTAAGGGATAGACTGGGCGTGGTGGCTCACGCCTGTAATCCCAGCACTTTGGGAGGCTGAGGCAGGTGGATCACCTGAGGTCGGGAGTTTGAGACCAGCCTGACTAATATGGAGAAACCCCGTCTCTACTAAAAATACAAAATTAGCCGGGCGTGGTGGTGGGCACCTATAATCCCAGCTACTCGGGAGGCTGAGGCAGGAGAATCGCTTGAACCCAGGAGGCAGAGGTTGCGGTGAGCCCCGAGATCGTGCCTTTGCACTCCAGCCTGGGCAACAAGAGCAAAAAGCTCTGTCACAAAAAAAAAAAAAAAAAAAAAAAAAAAAGAAAAGAAAGAAAAAAAAAAGAAAAGATAAAAAGGTAAGGGATAAAGGCCTGTGGTGAGGAAGTGGGCTCGGGGTGGCACTTCCTGTAGTCCCGAGTGAGCCTCTACTGTGTGCATACAGAAAATTAGCAGCAACCTGGGTGGGGTGGCTCACACCTGTAATCCCAGCACTTTGGGAGGCAGAGGTGGGTGGATCGTTTGAGCCCAGGATTTCAAGACCAACCTGGGCAACACAGAGAAACACAGGTCTCTACAAAAAAATTAATAAAAATTATGTGTGGGTGTGGTGGCACATGCCTATAGTCCCAGCTACTTGGGAAGCTGAGGCAGGAGGATCACTTGAGCCCAGGAGACTGAGGTTGCAGTGAGCCGTGATGGCACTACTGCACTCCAGAGCGGCCTGGGTGACGCAGTGAGACCCTGTCTCTAAAAAAAAAAAAAAAGATAACTAGCAGACTTGCCTCCCACTCTTTCTAAAATGGCAGCACTTTCCATGAGTTTAATGCATGATTCATGCTTTGGCACGTGGCCTCTGCTTTCTTAGGCTTTCATGCTAATAAACCATTTTCTTTTTTTTTTTTTTTTTTTTTTTTTTGAGACGGAGTCTCGCTCTGTCGCCCAGGCTGGAGTGCCATGGCGCGATCTCGGCTCACTACAAGCTCCGTCTCCCGGGTTCACGCCATTCTCCTGTCTCAGCCTCCTGAGTAGCTGGGACTACAGGCGCCCGCCACCACGCCCGGCTAATTTTTGTATTTTTAGTAGAGACGGAGTTTCACCGTGTTAACCAGGATGGTCTCCATCTCCTGACCTCGTGATCCGCCCGCCTCGGCCTCCCAAAGTGCTGGGATTACAGGTGTGAGCCACCGTGCCCGGCCGCCATTTTCAATTCTCTCCATTTCCTATAGACAGAGATTGGTATCAAGATGGGGTTGTTGGGGCCAGGCTTCTGGGAAGCATCTGAGATAACTAGCTACATTGTATTCCTTTTCCATTGATTAGAAGTTAGACTCTCTGGCTTGAGTCTGACTGTGTGTCTTTAGGCTGGTCATGTAAACTTTCTTTGCCTCGATTTCATCATCTGTAAAATGGGTATCAGTTATCACATCAGGGTGGGGCAGGATGTTGGAATGTCATCAGTTAAGGCTATTTTCACTTCTTTTGTGGATCTTCAGTTGCTTCAGGCCATCTGGATGTATAAGTGCCAGTCACAGGGGATATGATTGGTTAGCTTGGGCTCAGAGGCCTGACACCTCCCTCATCCTGCCTAACTCCCAGAGTTGAAATGATGATCAAATAAAATGCCTACTGGACTGAGAGTTGCCTAAATTTGAGTCTTATTTGCCTGCATACATCCTACAGTGGCTGGCATTTAATAGACTTATTATGTTTGATGAAGATATAAATAAAGGTATAACTAAGAACTTAGCACTTATGTGTCAAAGCACTATCTTAAGATTTGCAAAATCAACTCATTTAGTCCTCCCAATAAACCTCTGAGGTAAGTGCTATTCGGTCTCTTTTCTTATGAGGAAACCCAGTTTTTTTTTTTCTTTTCTTTCTTTTTTTTTTTTTTTGAGAGAGAGAGAGGGAGAGTCTCACTCTGTCACCCAGGTTGGAGTGCAATGGTACAATCATGCCTCACTGCAGCCTCGATTCAAGCAATCCTCCTGCCACAGCCTCCTGAGTAGCTGGGACTACAGATGAGCACCACCATATCTGGCTAATTTTTGTATTTTTTTGTAGAGATGGGGTCTCACTATGTTACCCAGGCTGATCTCGAGCTCCTGGGCTCAAGTGATCCTCCCACTTCAGCCTCTCAAAGTGCTGGGATAATAGGTGTGACCATTTTTTTTTTTATATACGCACATGTAGCCAATAAAGGCCTACAGGAAATGCCACCATTTTTTTCAGGGAGTGGAGGCCACCTTCCCACCAGGGACACCTAGGTCTGCCCTGCCCTGCCCCGCCCTGCCCCGCCCTGCACTGACAAGTATGACTTTTTTTTTTTTTTTTTGAGATGGAGTCTGTCGCCAGACTGGAGTGCAGCGGCACGATCTCGGCTCACTGCAACCTCTGCCTCCCGGGTTCAAGTGATTCTCCTGCCTCAGCCTCCCCAGTAGCTGGGGAGGCTACTGGGGAGCCTCTGGGGAGGCTACTGGGGAGGCTACGGGCATGCATCACCATGCCCAGCTAATTTTTATATTTTTTAGTAGAGACGAGGTTTCACCATGTTGGCCAGGATGGTTTTGATCTCTTGACCTCATGATCCACCCACCTTGGCCTCCCAAAATGCTGGGATTACAGGTGTGAGCCACCGCACCCGGCCAAGTATGAGTCTTATAATGGAGTATTGTTATTTCAATACCTGTCGGCTCCAGAAGCACACCAGGCCCCTCAACTGGGGAGGTGGCTCTGGGTAAGAATGAGGGGAGCTCTTTCCTCACTTATCTTAACCTCCTTTCCCCTTCCCAGGGTTCGGCCCTGTCTTTACAACCAGTGACCCTGACAGCTTCTGGCAACAGCTTAATGAGATCCATGCCTTGGGGGGTGGAGACGAGCCTGAGATGTGCCTGTCAGCCCTGCAGGTCTGGCCCCTCCCTTCTTCCCCGTTTCCTGGCCCCACCACCAGGGGGAGCTAGATCCCTCCTGGGGCTCCCCACCACCTTCAGCACCTAGATCCACTAGCTTCACTGTAGGGTTCCCGGGCCATATTCCCTTCTGCTTCATCCTCCGTGGCTCTACCCATTCCCCTCCTACTGCCATTGTTAACACTGGTCGTTGCCTTCCCTGCCAGCTGGCCCTGCTGCACACACCTCCACTCTCAGATATCTTTGTCTTCACGGATGCCTCCCCCAAGGATGCCTTTCTCACCAACCAGGTGGAATCCCTGACTCAGGAGCGGCGCTGCCGGGTGAGCAGAGCTAGTGGGAGACCCAGTGTTAGCCTCCCAGGGATGTGAGAGACCCTGTGATGACAATCTCATAACGAGGGTTGCACCACACTATGGTGGCCCAACAAGCCTTGGTATATGGTGGGAGAAGCAGACAATGAGTGGAACATTTCCTGATACCTTTAATGATATACGTAAGAGGCCCTACCCTTAATAACGCTGAATTTTTATTTGACCCTGCCTAATAAACAATGTGAAGAACTGGGGCTCTAGTCGCCAAAAATCCACTGTGACAGTTACAAGGGGGTGGCCAACTACTAACTGAAGGCAGGGGGTTCTGTCATTGGGATTCCCCACCCCAGCAGCCAGAAGGCAGGCAGAGACCTTATCACAAACCATCAGCTCTGGAGAAAGCTTGAGCACAGGGATTCTCATTCATAATAGTGGATGGCACTTGGACACCCCAATCACTGAGCTCTCTTCTGGGTACAGGTAACATTCCTGGTGACTGAAGATACATCAAGGGTTCAGGGTCGAGCTCGGCGTGAGATCTTGTCCCCTCTGCGTTTTGAGCCATACAAAGCAGTGGCCCTGGCCTCAGGAGGAGAGGTGATCTTCACCAAAGACCAGCACATTCGAGACGTGGCAGCCATTGTTGGGGAGAGCATGGCTGCCCTGGTAAGTGGGGGCCAGGGCCCTCACTTAGGAACTGAAGGGTGGTCAGGCTGCACCTCTCTTCTTATAGGAGAAAGGGGAATCACTCTCACTGCTGTGTTGTTCTTCCAGTCACGGGGCAGGAAAGGAAGTTTCTCTTCCTCTTAGATCCATGACTAGCCACTTCTTTTTTTTTTTTTGAGATGGAGTCTTATGGTCACCCAGGTTGGAGTGCAGTGGCACAATCTCGGCTCATTGCAACCTCCACCTCCCGGGTTCAAGGGATTCTCCTGCCTCAGCCTCCCAAGTCGCTAGAGTTACCAGTGCCCACCACCAGGCCTGGCTAATTTTTGTATTTTTTTAGTAGAGCCGGGGTTTCACCGTTTTTTTGGCCAGGCTGGTTTCGTACTCCTGACCGCAAGTGATCCGCCTACCTTGGCCTCCCACAGTGCTGGGATTACAGGCGCGAGCCACCACGCCTGGCCTGCATTGTCCTTTTATATCAGTAAACCTCTCCCCACTTGGCTTCCAGTATTCTGCCTCCAGGGTTACCACAGGAAGTCCTACCATCTTTTTGGGGAGGTGGCTTGTATTTTGCAGAGACAGAGTCTTGCTATATTGACTAAGCTGTTCTTGAACCCCTGGCCTCAAGTGATCCTCCTGCCTTGGTCTCCCAGGTGCTGGGATTACAGACATGAGCCACCACGCCTGGCCTATCATCTTTTAATGGGGCACAAGATGTGATTGTCTCATCCTGAATCCCTTGCCTCCAACTTTGTCTCTGACCATAATAACTTCATCCCTGGCCCCGTGCCCCTCTCTTACTGGTATCCCTTTCTGCCTGTTTGACGTGGTTTCTTTCTTTTTTCTTTTTCTTTCTTTTTTTTTTTTTTTTTTTTTTTGAGACAGAGTCTTGCACTGTCGCCCAGGCTGGAGTGCAATGGTACAATCTTGGCTCACTGCAGCCTCTGCCTGTTGGGTTCAAGCGATTCTCCTGCTCCAGCCTCCCAAGTAGCTGGGATTACAGGAGCCCACCACCACACCTGGCTAATTTTTTGTATTTTTTTTTTTTTAGTAGAGATGTAGTTTCACTGTGTTGGCCAGGCTGGTCTCGAACTCTTGACCTTGTGATCCACCCGCCTCAGCCTCCCAAAGTGCTGGGATTACAGGCGTGACCAACTGCGCCCGGCCCAATGACGTGGTTTCTTTCTATCTCCCCTTTCTTCTTTGTTCCTCATCCCATACCTCATCTTCTTCCCCATTTTCTGGTCCTGCCAATCCCTCAAGGTGACTCTTCCCCTGGACCCTCCTGTTGTGGTGCCTGGGCAGCCACTTGTGTTCAGCGTGGATGGGCTGCTCCAGAAGATCACAGTCCGGATCCACGGAGACATCAGCAGCTTCTGGATCAAGAACCCTGCAGGTACCTCTGAAGGTAGAGGGAAGAGAGGGGACCGGGGAATAGACAATCGAGGGGATGTACTCAAGGAGAGCAAGTGCTTCATGTGACAATCTCTTCCCTGACCCCAGGGGTCTCCCAGGGCCAGGAGGAAGGCGGGGGTCCTCTAGGTCACACTCGCCGCTTTGGGCAGTTCTGGATGGTGACCATGGATGACCCTCCACAGACAGGAACCTGGGAGATCCAGGTCACAGCTGAGGACACCCCTGGGGTGAGAGTGCAAGGTAAGGAGGGAGGTGTTCCTGGGAAGGGGAAGCAGAGACTGCAGGCCTCAGAGAACACGATCAGTCACATTCCTTTCAGGAAGGGCTCTGACTGCCTTTGCCCTTTCCCAGCCCAGACCTCCCTGGACTTCCTCTTCCACTTTGGGATCCCCATGGAGGATGGACCCCACCCTGGCCTCTACCCCCTGACTCAGCCAGTTGCAGGTACATTTATTCCCTGAGCCCCCACCCACCTAACCCCCAGTTTTATATATATATATAAAATATATAATATATAATATATATATTATATATATAATGTATATATGTATACATACATCTGTGCATATGCATAACTTTTATATTGAGTTATAATTTACATAATGTGCACTAAAGTGTACAGTTTGATGGATTTCATATAATACACCCAGTTCAGGATATAGAACATTTCCAGCACCCCAGAACTCCCTCCTGATGCTCCCCATCAATACCCCTCGAAGGTAACCTATTTTCCCATCCATACTCCCCAGAGGGAACCCCTATTTTGAAGGCCATTAATTCTTTTCTCCCTGTGTCTCCGAATCTCACAATGTTCTCCCCTCCTCGCCCCTGTCCCAGGTCTTCAGACCCAGCTGCTGGTAGAAGTGACAGGGTTGGGTTCCAGAGCCAATCCTGGGGATCCTCAGCCGCATTTCTCCCACGTCATCCTTCGAGGGGTCCCAGAGGGTGCCGAACTAGGCCAGGTGCCCTTGGAGCCCGTGGGACCTCCGGAGCGAGGTCTCCTCGCAGCCTCGCTGTCGCCCACGCTGCTGTCCACCCCTAGACCCTTCTCCCTGGAGCTGATTGGCCAGGACGCAGCGGGGCGGCGCCTGCACAGGGCTGCCCCTCAGCCTAGCACTGTAGTCCCTGTCCTTCTGGAGGTGAGACGCCAGGGGAAAGTGCGGCTGGGGCTGGAGAGAGTTAGAGCGGCCCCTTCCCTGAAGAACCCTTCTCTGCAGCTTAGTGGCCCCTCGGGTTTCTTGGCCCCGGGCAGCAAAGTCCCGCTCAGTCTCCGCATCGCCAGCTTCTCGGGCCCTCAGGATCTTGACCTTAGGACTTTCGTCAACCCCAGCTTCTCCCTCACCTCCAACCTCTCCAGGTGAGGCTCATGAACCCTCCAGCTCCCTCTGGCATCTTGCCCGGCCAATGCTTATCCCAAGCCCTGCCCCTGTCCCCCTCCGACTGGCCCTCAGAATCCTCCTCTCCGCTCCCGTGCCCCTGCAGGCGTCCCGACTCTAGGCTCTGGGCAGCCTGGAGCTTTAGCGACGCCTATATCCTCTCTCCAGGGCTCACCTGGAACTGAATGAGTCGGCCTGGGGCCGCCTGTGGCTGGAGGTCCCAGATTCAGCGGCCCCGGATTCCGTGGTGATGGTGACTGTGACTGCAGGGGGACGAGAAGCCAACCCAGTACCCCCGACTCATGCTTTCCTCCGGCTCCTGGTATCGGCCCCAGCCCCGCAGGTGAGGAACCACTACTTTCCATCACAGGGTGGGCAAGGCCGGGGAGGGTGGTGTAGGTTTAATTTGAGTACAGCTCTAGCACACCCTGTCATTCTCTTCCTTTTCCCCACAGGACCGGCACACCACCCCTACCGGCTCATCTGACCCGATCCTCACCACGGCCACCCCTGCCTTTTCCCCCTTCACATTGGTGACTCAAGGCAGGGCTGGGGCAGGGCTGGCTGCGGGCAGCCCCTGGTGGGGCACAGTTGGAGGGGTGCTGCTTCTGCTAGGCCTGGCCTCCTGGTGACACAACGGGCTCTAAAGGGATGGGTCTCCAGCACTATTTTCAACCTGCCCCATTGGTAAGAAGACCTGGGACACATTTGTCACATAGGTCTTAGGACCTTACCTCTCCTAGCTGGGATGAAGGTTTTCTCTTTTTTGTTGTTGTTGTTTTTTTTTTGAGATGTAGTTTTGCTCATTGCCCAGGCTGGAGTGCAGCGGCGCAATCTCGGCTCGCTGCAACCTCTGCCTCCTAGGTTCAAGCGATTCTCCTGCCTCAGCCTCCCAAGTAGCTGGGATCACAGGTGCCCGCCACCACGCCCGGCTAATTTTTTGTATTTTTAGTAGAGACAGGGTTTCACTATGTTGGCCAGGCTGGTCTCAAACTCCTGACCTCAGGTGATCTGCCTGCCTCGGCCTCCCAAAGTGCTGGGATTACAGGCGTGAGCCACCGTGCCCAGCCAATGAAGGTTTTCTTTCTCCATCACATCCCTTTCCTTTCTTAGAAACTTCGAGACTGGGGCTGGGTGCAGTGGCTCACGCCTGTAATCCCAGCACTCTGGGAGGCTGAGGCAGGAGGATCACTTGAGCCCAGGAGGTTGAGGCTGCAGTGAGTTGTGGTCGAACCACTGCACTACAGCCTGAGCGACAGTGAGACCCTATCTCAGAAACAAAACAAAACAAAACACCCTGCAAGACTGGGATAGAGGGCAATGGATATTCCCACAATGCACTTTTCCTAACCCTATGAGAAACAAACCAAAGACATTTTTGGAGAAAGCTGCTTTCTGGAGCAGTTTCAGTTTTATTTTTGTATTTAAGGCTGAAGGACAGTTTCAATAAACATGCTTCTTCCCAGAGGGATTTCAAAGAAAGATCGTTTTTGCATGTCATATAGGGGAGAATGAGGACATGAGACACCAAGAAGATGAAGTTTTCAGGAGCAGAGGAGAAACTTTACACCAACATGTCTGAACTTCATTGACTCACTACCTGGAGCCATTTTTTAGCTGTTGAGTTAAGAAACAGAAAAAGGAGCCTGGGGCTTCTGACTCTTTCACCAGGCTTAGGGGAGTGAGAGGAGGGTTTAGACACGGGTAGGGCCTCTTGGCCCCTTGGTGCAGCCCCGCTGAGCCATCTCCTCCTTTGGCTGGGTGACTCCTTTCTGCTGCCTTGACAACTCCTGGAGGAGAAACAGATGGGGCCTCTGGGCTCCTCCCAGCCCTGTAGGGTGGGGCTCCTGCCCTCCTTCTTGAAGTTTACCTGTTGCTGCCACAAGTTCTGCTCCCTTCGTCTTTCCTTTGAATCCTGGGTGGTGCAGGAACTAGCCTTGTTCAGTGGACTTGGGGAGAACTGGAGGGGAAATTCGCTGTGTTTTCTGTTAAGCCAGCACTGACCCCAACAACTCCCCTCTCTAGTCCAACTTCCCAAAAGTCTAAACTGAAAACAATAAACTCACCTTCTCATGAATCAGATTCTGCAAACAGATGTTCACCTTTTGAATCTGGGCTAACGGGGGGCGACCAGGCTCTGAGTGTAAATCTGTTAGAAAATTCTAGAGGAGGAGTTGGAGGCTGACAACATGGTGAAAACCTGAGGTCGTCTGCCACTCTATTCCTGTCACCACAGGCCATCCCTCTCATCTGGATCCCCTCGTCCCAGTACCCTCCCAGGCAGGTGGGAAAATCCAGTACTCTCCACCTCCATCTCTTTAGCACATCAGTTCCTCCATCTCCCTCAAATAGCACAATACCCCCTTTCACTACTCTTCATGGAGCCTCCCTGTCCATCCCTGCCCCATTGGAATAATCCAGGCCACACCCTCATCTCCATGGAGTGATCCAAATCCCTCTGAATGGAATGCAGACCAGCTTCCTCCAGCCCCAACAATGAACACCAACTTAACACTTGGTGGCATCCTGTCATTACGATGCTGCCTCCAACTCATGATCCCTGACCATTAACTCTCCCCTCTCCAGAGTGGTCTCAGGCTGTGTCTACACATTCCCTGTTCCTCCCTCCCTGGTCCTCCCCCCATTCACACAGAGGGGCAGCCCCCATACCTCACCAAGGGCCCCTAGATGCAGCTGCTGTCGCTGTGCCTCCCTCAGATGGTCTTCAAACCAGGCCTGGCCATGCTGTAGCAGCTCCAGACCCTGCCACAGGGCATCCTGTTCTCTCTCCAGAGCCTGCATCCTGCGTAGCTGGGAAAGGCAATCACAGAGGCTGACTCTCACGCCACAGTAGGGCTCTGGGTTATGGCCCTTTCTCTCCACCCCTAGTTGGGTTCACTGTGTGGTCACTGAGTGTGAACCCAGACTGGCCACTGAGGACCTGGAGGGCAAGGGGAGGCAGGCGGGAACACTGTGGGCCCTCAAGTTGAATGGAAATATAAAGGGCAGATCTATTGAGAGAGTTCCCCTGGGACCTCTTGTTGGGCTGATACTCACCCAAAGGAAGAAGCTCTGGGCCCCTGGGTCTTGGCGGCTTGTCCCCAGCGGCAGCAGCAGGACTGTGTAGGGAGCCTGCACCAAGGGCACCCCGCCAGAGCCCTGGCTCCCCATGGCTCTGAGGTGGGAAGGGTGGAGCCACTCCCACTGGTGCAGCCCGGGCTGGTCCCTCCCCTCCACCCCTGCCTTGCACCCATCCTGCCTCTGTCAGCCTCTCAGGCCCCTTCCTGCTGTGTCTGTCTGAGGCTGGGGTGTTCCTACTTGAGAAGAGAGACCATCTCCCTTGGACCCCTCTGTCTTCCCTCTAATCTGTTTTGTAGGGCCTCTCTGAAGGGGTTCGTTCTCATGAAGTATCCTGGGGTAGAATCCGGGAGTCTTCCTACAGCAACAACACTGTATTTTTACTGAGGCAGGGCAGGTTCCCCTGTGGACTCCTGCTCTGTGTTTTGGATCTTTCCTAGTCTCTTGTTTTGAGACTAAAGAAACAATATCTTTCTTCAAAATAAACTTTATTCCTAATATGAAACAAAATTTCTAGAGAAACTAAAAACTCTGCGTCTGAGGGAGATAAGGAAACAAAGAGGGCATGGCAGCCCACCGGAGTCTCAGGAGGCTGGGGAGGACACTGGAAGGACTCTCAGAGGATGCTGGTGGCAGCAGGCAGCACTTCCTGGCTCATGAAAACGTTCAAGTCCAGGTTAGGATCTTCCAAATCCAGTTTCATAAACTTATCCACTAATGTCTGGCAACTGAAGAAGAGAGAAAATCGCAAGATTTATGGCAGAATGGACAACCAAATCCCTGGGCAGAGGGGAGAGGCTGTGGCACAGAAAACCTGGGATCTTGAAGATTTAGGGATTTCAGAAAGAAATGGTGGGTTTCTGAAGGGCAAAGTGCTGGAGGAAGGCTGAGTCCCTGAAAAGGGGAGAAGAGTTGCAGGAGAAGATGCAGAGAGGGTAAAGACACTGGGGCCATATACGCACTTTTCCATTTGGTTCTTCTTTAGCAAATCCTTGACAGGCTTGATGGGTTTTCCACTGCGGATCAAGTCTGAGACCTAGGAACAAGCAAGAAGGTGGGAGGAGTAAGGGGAGTGGGGAAGAGAAGGGGAAATAAGGGTCAGAAATCCTGTGGACCTAGACCCAGGCCCAGTAGGACTAGGAATGAAAGGGAGCTCTGATGTGGAGGTGGTTGCACATTTGGATCTCATCACCTCCTTGCCACGAGCCACAAGCTTGTCAGGAAGCCCAGCCTGGGCAGCTGTGTGGGAGGCATGGCTGGCCTTCGCAACACCTTCGCAAACCTGATAGAAGAAGACAAGATCGTTGCCATCCTCACAGGTCTCCATGGTCTTAAAAGAGAATAAAAGACAGTGTATCATCAATCACCTCCTTCCTGTCCTGAAACCCTTGGCCAATCCTGTGGGGAGGGAGAAAAGGGAAGGGATGTGGTCTCTGTGCTGAGGGAGCCCTTGTTCTGATAGAGGAGCCAATCCCCACCTCTGGGAAATGCCCAGCCTGGGGGTCCCCGAGGAGCTAGATTGGTCTCCTCACCAAATACTGCACCAGGGGCCCTTGTGGCAGCAGTTGTAGCTGAACAAGGCTCAGAAAGTTGGTGGCCACAAAGATGTGGGGGCATGTGGGTCCACGTGCCAGCCAGTGTCGGAGCACAGCGGCCAGAAGCGCGAGCCCATCCACCTGCAAAGAGGGCAGAGGTTAGCATTCGGAGCCATGGGGACCCCATATGCCCCTCTGCACTTGCACTGCCTTTCCCTGTCTCGTGTTCTATTTCTTTTCTGCCCACACAGCCCTATTCCATTCCAGAGGCCCAGCCTCACTGTCATGCTCCTTCATCCTCCTCCATTTTCCCCTCCTTAGTTTCTCCCCTCATCAGTTTCTCCCCTCACCGTGTTGGTTCCCTTTCCAAATTCATCAATAAGGACCAGCGACTGTGCAGTGGCATTGTTCACTGCTTTCGCCACCTGCTGGGTATAAGGTGGACAAGGGAAAGTTAGTATTGGAAGCCCGTAACGCACTGACCACAGTTGGCCTGTGAATAAAGCTGTATACATGCCCTCCCTACTGCACTGCAAGTTCTTGAATGGTGAGGTGCACGCTTTGTTCATCCTCTTTGCCAACAGTGACTCACATGAAACAAGGGTTCAAGAAATGTTTATGGTATTGATTCTTCTTATCTCTGACCTTAGTGCTCCCCACTTTTAGTATAAAGGGCATGCAGCAGAGGGCATGCTTTCCTGTTATGAGCATTTTCAGGGGTTCCTTTCCCATTATCCCCTTCCTCAATCCCACCTCCCTTTGTTCCCTTTGACCTGGTTGAGGTCGATCATGAAGGTGGAGAGGCCAAGGGAGATGGATTCGCAGCTATGAATTCGTGTGAAGATGGCGTCTACTGCCCCAATTTCGGCCTCCTCTGCTGGCACAAAGCTGCCTACCAGGGCCATGAATGTGATCAAGCCTACCTGAATAGGGAAGGAGACAGGGCCTGGGGCCTGGTGCCGTGGGCTGAGGTGAAAGTGAGGCTCAAGGCATGAATGGCACATCAAAGAGAAATGGACAGGGTGAAACAGGAGAAATAGGTAACAGACACACTGACTCTGTCTCTCCTCCCCGAATCCTGACCATAGCCCTGTGGGCTAATTTAGAATCAGTGAAGAGGCACGGGACGTGGGCAGAGACATACTTGGGAGTGGTGTGTACCTACTCAGAGGCAGGTGAAGGAATTTGGGCCACGGAAAGTTCCATTAGAGCATGGCTCTCCAGTGGAGAATAAGAACATGTGAGGTGGAAGCACAGGGATGTGGGTGATGGTCCTTTCATGAAGAGCGGGGTCAGAAAATGGGAGAAGAGCTGCAGGAGCCTGAGTTGGCTGGCAAGTAGGGGTGGAGTAGATGCAGGAGACGCCAGAGGCCCAGGCTGCAGGGCTTCTCCTCACCTGTTTGAGGTATATGCTCTTCCCTGATGAGTTGGGTCCAGTGATGACTTTGACCCTCCCTTTGTCCCCACCACATTCTGTGGAGTTGGGCACAAAGGTTCGGGCACAGAGTTCCATCAGAGGATGTCTGCAGTGGGCGGAGAGGCACCTCGCATGGCTTGTGGATCAAGATAGATGAACCCCCAGAAGATGTAGCCTTTGGGCCCCTCATGTCTATTCCTCCACCCGCCTCTATTCTTACCTGCCATTCTGGATTCGTACCCCAAGGACTTGTGGGGAGTAACGCGGCCTTGAGTAGCCATAGTCCCGGGCAGCACTGGCAAGAGCCAGCAGGACGTCCAGGCGGGAGGCAAGGTCCAATACTCGGGTTAAGACAGCTGCTCGTGCCAGCACCTGGCACTGTAGCTGGTACATCAGCAGCGTCTCCTGGTCTGGGAGTGGGTGAGGAAGGGAGCTGGAGGTCAGTTCCAGGGGAAAGTGAAGGAGAGGCAGAGGCCCCTAGGGGGATCTGGAAACAGGTTGCAGATACAATCTGAGACCTCAAGACATTCAGAGGAAAAGATAGAGTCAGAGTGAGCGAGACAGAGAGCAGGAAGAGGAGGGGCCTGTTGGAAGCATCCCCAAGTTGCCCACTCCCCTCCTTCCCCTGGCTGCTGCTTTTTTTAAACATCTTACAATGCATATAACCTCTGGCTTTTCCTCACCCCGGATCTCGCAGTGCAGGTCCCCCAGCAATGCATCCAGCTCCTTGGTTCGGGCACTACGATAGTGCAGCTTCTCCTCTGAGAGAAACTGGGTACAGGGGTTCAAAGCTGTGGACTTTGCATCTCTTGGTCCTCCTCTCCTTCCCCATCTTTCTAACCCCACCTCCAGCCCCTAACTCTGACTTCTCTTTCCTTTGTCTCAGTGCTGGTAAAGCTCAGAGTAAAACTACAGAGGAGAGATCCCATATTGGGCAGTGCTGCTGTAGAGTAACGCTCTTCCTCAGCTGCTGACTCATTTTCCTCATCACTCACCTTACAGAGGTTGAGGGTCTTACCATGAAGTCCAGTCCATTAATCTCAAAGTCACTGGCCTCTACCATGGAAGGCAGGCGGGGAATAGAAAGAAGGAAGCCAATCTGGGGAGAGTAAAGAGGAGATACTCTACTCTCCTGCTTGGAGACTTACTGGACACCTCCCCACCCTAGAGGGAGCTTAAAAGATCCCTGTATCCCCACAAAAAAGTGTTCATGTTCTTCAGGCTGCCCCACAAGTTTTCTTATCTACCAGTATGTCTTTCATAAGCCTAATATCTCCCCCAAAAGACATCTGAAGGCTACACCCACTCTCCTGCCCTCACCAGAGGGATGTAGATGACACTGCATGAAGGAATACGGGAGTCCAGATTCTCCAGCTCCTTGCGGGCAACCTCAGTAAGGAAACTGGGAAGTCCCATCAGTCTTCGCTTTTCTACGAGGGTGGAAGACACGTGGTTATCAAAAGTGAGTCTCCTGCCCTGGTTGCTATGAAGATCCCCAGCTGTGGTGACCACCTGCCAAGGATGGTACTCCATCACTGCGCAGGGCTCACAGGCCCATCCACACCCAACACTCACTCTCATCAATTTCAGGATCTATGTTGGGGAGGACTGTGAAGCGATTTTCAGCAAGGCTGCCCTCAAAGTCCACCTGAGGAGATAAGTACTGTTTCTTAGGACCTGGCACCCTCTGTCCTGTTCCTCAGCTCTCCTTGGGCCCCAATTCTCCCTGCAGTCCTCCTTTAACTCTCACCCTCCAGATACTTCCCTGAAGTTCTGCTGCCTCCTCCCACCATCCCATTCTTTATCCAATTGACCTCAATATCTTCCATGTTTCCCCATCTTGCACACTGCATTCTCTCTCCCTGACCTCCCTGGGTGCACTCCCTTTTTCCTTCTACTCACTACTTTCCCAATGAGGCTGGCGATATGGTGCAGGTCATCAGAGAACTCTTGGGCAATGTCCCGAAAGAGCTGGATGGACTGCGGCAGGGAGCGGCAGGCATCCCTCAGGCCCAGGGCACTGTACACAGTCTGTGAGAGAAACACAAAAAGGAGGACAGGCCACATCCAGCTCGGGTTGAGGTGGTGATAGGGACAGACTCAGAAGAACAAAGACCAGTAGGGAAGATCACAGTAACAAAGAGGGAAGATCTCAAAGGCAAAAAGAAACAGTGAGAGGCACTGTACCAAACACTGAAACTACAAAGACAATTAAGATATGGTCCTGGCCAGGCACAGTGGCTCATGCCTGTAATCCCAGCACTTTGGGAGGCTGAGGTGGGTAGATCACCTGAGGTCAGGAGTTCGAGATCAGCCTCACCAACATGGTGAAACCCTGTCTCTACTCAAAATACAAAAATTAACTGGGCTTGGTGGCATGCACATGTAATTCCAGCTACTTGGGAGGCTGAGGCAGGAGAATCTCTTGAACCCGGGAGGTGGAGGTTATAGCCAGATCACGCCATTGCACTCCAGCCTGGCCGACAGAGCGAGACTCTGTCTCAAAACAAAACAAATAAACAAAAAAAGATATGGTCCCTGTCCCAGATGTGCTCACAGTCTAGGAAGGAAGACAGAAATACATGCAGAAGATTTAAAAGTGAGGTGGTAGGTGCTTTGATAGAGGGTTGTGCAAACTCTAAAACAAAGGAGTTTGTACAGAGTCGGGAGAAAGAGAAATATAGCTATAAAAGGCCATGAGTCTGTAATGATACAAGAAGAACAATGACAAAAAAACCTCATCGGCTATCAGGGCCGGGCGCGGTGGCTCACACCTGTAATCCCAGCACTTTGGGAGGCTGAGGCGGGTGGATCACGAGGTCAGGAGATTGAGACCATCCTGGTTAAGAGGGTGAAACCCTGTCTCTACTAAAAGTACAAAAAATTAGCCAGGCGTGGTGGCGGGCGCCTGTAGTCCCAGGCACTCAGGAGGCTGAGGTAGGAGAATGGCGCGAACCCGGGAGGCAGAGCTTGCAGTGAGCCGAGATCGCGCCACTGCACTCCTGCCTGGGCAACAGTGCAAGACTCCATCTCAAACAAACAAACAAACAAACAAACAAAAAACAAAAAAATCTCATGGCTATCTTGGAGAATGTTAGGGAACTAATTTACCATATTGATAGCTAGTAAATAAAGGTGGGGGGTGCTCATTTCTGCAGCACATATACTGAAATTTCGAAGGTTACAGGGATTAGCACGGCCACTGGGCACGGATGACACAAATTCAAGAAGCGTTCCATATTGGGGAAAAAAAAAAGGGCTGGGCATGGTGGCTCACACCTGTAATCCCAGCACTTTGGGAGGCCGAGGCGGGTGGATCACGAGGTCAAGAGATCAAGACCATCCTGGCCATCATGGTGAAACCCTGTCTCTACTAAAAATACAAAAATTAGCCAGGCATGGTGGCACACGCCTATAGTCCCAGCTACTCGGGAGGCTGAGGCAGGAGAATCACTTGAAACCCAACCCGGGAGGTGGAGGTTGCAGTGAGCCAAGATTGTGCCACTGCACTCCAGCCTGGTGACAGAGCAAGACTCTGTCTCAAAAAAAAAAGAGTGGGGGAAATATCAAGCAATTTTCTGTATTTCTATATGATTTCTATCACTTGGCAACCAAATAGTACATAAAAGGAAGTTTCTCTTTACAGAAATTTCTGGCTAATAAATGAAGAAAGAATCAGAGATTTAAATGCTACTACTTTGTAATTGCTAAAGAATTAATAGATGGCTGGGTGTAGTGGTTCACGCCTGTAATCCCAGCACTTTGGGAGGCTGAGGCGGGTGGATCACCTGAGGTCAAGAGATCAAGACCATCCTGGCCAACATGGTGAAATCCCGTCTCTACTAAAAATACAAAAATTAGCTGGGCGTGGTGGTGTGCGCCTGTAAGTCCCAGCTACTCAGGAGGCTGAGGCAGGAGAATCACTTGAACTCAGGAGGCGGAGGTTGCAGTGAGCCAAGATCGTGCCACTGCACTTCAGCCTGGCGACAGAGGGAGACTCACCTCAAACTAAATAAATAAATAAATAAATGAATAATAGATTTAGGTATTAAACATCAGAACATTTGCCAACATCAGAAAAAGAGAGACAATCGGACATATCAGACATTATGTTCCTCTACTTCTAAAACAGTATTGAAAAAAAAAAAACTCTGAACCTAATCATGCTTCTAGAACTAAATATTAATTTACAGAAACTATAGAAGAGAGAGAAATGTGCCAAAAACATCTAGGAAATGCAAACAGCAAAATCCAGGCTAATGGAAAACACTATAAGACAAATAATAATCTAGTTTCTTCAACAAATTGCCAGGAGAAGAAAAAGAGAAAAAGAAAGAAAGAACAAGAGAGAAAAGATAGAGAAGGAACCGGTAGATTAAAAAGGACTAGGGCCATCATCTGACTGGGCATCGTGGCTCACACCAATAGTCTCAGCACTTTGGGAGGCCCAAGCAGGAGGATCACTTGAGCTCAGGAGTTTGAGACCACCTTGAGCAACATAGTGAGATCCTGTCTCTACAAAAAATAAAAAATTGGTCAGGTGCAATGGCTCACGCCTGTAATCCCAGCACTTTGGGAGGCCGAGGCAGGCAGATCATCTGAGGTCGGGAGTTCGAGACCAGCCCGACCAACAGGGAGAAACCCTGTCTCTACTAAAAATACAAAATTAGCTGGGCGTGGTGGCACGCACCTGTAATCCCAGCTACTTGGGAGGCTGAGGCAAGAGAATCACTTGAACCCAGGAGGTGGAGGTTGCGGTGAGCCGAGATCACACCATTGCACTCCAGCCTGGGCTACAAGAGCAAAATCCCGTCTCAAAAATAAATAAATAAATAAATAAATAAATAAATAAATAAATAAATGCAAGCAAAAAATAAAAACTTAGTTCGGTGTGATGGCCATCACCTGTGGTCCCTGCTACTCAGGAGGCTGAGGGGGGAGGATCGCTTGAGCCCAACAGTTTGAGGCTGCAGTGAGCTACAATTGTGCCATTGCACTCAAGCCTGGGTGACAGAGTGAGACCCTGTCTCAAAAAAGAAAAATTTCAGATATTTGATGATACCAAATAATACAATTTTTAAAGTAAGATAACAATACTGTTATTCTTTTTAAAAAATAATTTTCTTTTAGAAATTACCCTGAAATATTGGCCGGGTGAGGTGGCTCACGCCTGTAATCCCAGCACTCTGGGAGGCCGAGGCGGGTGGATCACGAGGTCAGGAGATCAAGACCATCCTGGCCAACATGGTGAAACCCTGTCTCTACTAAAAATACAAAAAAAAAACTTGGGCATGGTGGCATGTGCCTGTTATCCCAGCTACATGGGAGGCTGAGGCAGGAGAATCGCTTGAACCTGGGAGGCGGAGGTTGCAGTGAGCCGAGATCATGCCACTGCACTCCAGCCTGGTGACAGAGTGAGACTCCATCTCAAAAAAAAAAAAAAAAAGAAAAAAGAAATTACACTGAAATATTTATGGATGAAATGATATAATGGCTGGGACTTGCTTCAAAATAATCCAAGAAAGCCAGGTGCAGCATCTCAGGCTTATAGTCCCAGTTACTCTGGAGGCTAAGGTGGGAGGATTGCTTGAGCCCAGAAGTTAGAGGCTGCAATGAAATATGACTGCACCACTCTGCTCTAGTATGGGTGACAAAGCAGGACCTTATTTAAAAAAACAAACAAACGACAACAAAACCCACAAAATAATCCAAGAGGGGAAAGTAGAAAAAGATATAGATGACACATACTAGGCTGGGCACGGTGGCTCCCACCTATAATCCTAGCACTTTGGGAGGCCGAGATGGGCAGATCACTTGAGGCCAGGAATTTGAGACCAGCCTGGCCAACATGGTGAAATCCCATCTCTACTAAAAATACAAAAATCACTCCAGTGTGGTGGTGGGCACCTGTAATCCCAGCTATTTGGGAGGCTGAGGTAGGAGAATCACTTGAACTTGGGAGGCAGAGGTTGCAGTGAGCCGAGATCGCACCACTGCAATCCAGCCTGGGCGACAGAGCAAGACTCTGTCTAAAAAAAAAAAGAAAAAGAAATAAAAAAAAATTGGCGTAAGTTAAAGTGTTGAAACTGCATGGTGGGTACATGGGGGTTAATTATATTATTCTAAATATTTTTTACATTTTCCTGAATACAAAGTTAAAAAAAAAAAGAGGGAGGCCGGGCCTGGTGGTTCACACCTGTAATCCCAGCACCTTGGGAGGCTGAGGCAGGTGGATCACCTGAAGTCAGGAGTTCAAGACCAGCCTGGCCAACATGGTGAAATCCTGTCTCTACTAAAAATACAAAAATTTGCCAGGCATGGTGGCGGGCGCTTGTAATCCCAACTTCTCGGGAGGCTGAGGCAGAATTGCTTGAACCCAGGAGGCGGAGGTTGCAGTGAGCCAAGATCGCCCCATGGCACTTCAGCCTGGGCGACAGAGCGAGGCTGTCTCCAAAAAAAAAAAAAAGAGGGTAGAATAAAATTGGACAGCATGTCTAGGGTACAGACAGTCTGGAATACAGGCTGAGGGCCTTTACCTGGACTTTTGGGATTCAAGAAGGAAGGCCTTACCTTGTAGAGAACCTGCCAGTCGCTGACCTTGGTGTGGGACAACTTCATGCGTTTCAGAATCAGCTACAGTCAGACAAGGTTACAGCCGCTGTTTTCTCTTCCCTCACTCTAATGCCCCTCAAGAAGCCCACTGCCCAGTATCAGCCCTCAACCTCCTTCCCCACCTCCCTGCCCTCCACCCTGGGCTCACAGGCACGTTCTTGATGTGACCCAGGAGCCGATGCAGCATCTGAGCCATGTCCAGATTCTGGGGCAGCAGAAAAAACTGAATGACGTCCAGACGAGAACTGAGCTCCCCCAGGTCATGAGTCGGACGTGTGAACCATAGCCTGGAAGTGAGGGTTTGGGTGGGGGTACTACAAGTTACATCTATCATCTTGATCTCAGTTTGCCAAAAAGTGTGCTTGCAGTCCCTGGGGATTGTGGCAATATGTATCCACGATGTGCTATGGGAATGTAGTGGCAAGTGCAGTGTCCTACCCATTCAGGTGTGTTTACATGTATCTACTGAAAATTGCTAGATGTGAGCATAATTGTGTCTACATATCACAGTTTCAACGGATAAGACCGTGTGTCATTCCATGTATATAAGTAACGGAGCTTGTCAATATTTTAGAAGGAGAGCAGTGTGTTGAGGTATTTGTGTGCCAACACTGCAGCTCACTCTGAGGCTGAGTAAGAGACGGTGAGTCAGTATGAGTTTGTATGTCTTTTTAGCTGTGAAAGTGTCTCTGGGTAACAGCAACAGACATTCATCTTTTCATATTCTTCCTGTGAAAACATAACTGTCCCATTAGGGATGATAAGCTTTAATTCATAATAATGGTCAACACTGCAGAGAAAAAAGGATTGGGGAGGGACATTTAAGGGGCTTCAACAACGTCTTATTCTTTCGTTTTTTTTTTTTTTTGAGACAGAGTCTCGCTTTGTCGCCAGGCTGGAGTGCAGTGATGCGATCTCGGCTCACTGCAACCTCCACCTCCCGGGTTCAAGTGATTTTCGTGCCTCAGCCTCCCGAGTAGCTGGGACTGCAGGTATGCGCCACCATGCCCAGCTAATTGTTGTATTTTTAGTAGAGTCAGGGTTTCACTATGTTGGCCAGAATGATCTCGATCTCTTGACCTCGTGATCTGCCCGCCTCGGCTCCCAAAGTGCTGGGATTACAGGCGTGAGTCACCATACCCGGCCAATAGTGTCTTATTCTTTTTTTTTATTTTATTTTTTATATAGAGTCTTGCTCTGTCGCCCAGGCTAGAGTGCAGTAGCACAATCTTGGCTTACTGCAACCTCCACCTCCCAGGTTCTGGAATTACAGGCACCCGCCACTGTGCTCAGCTAATTTTTGTATTTTTAGTAGAGACGGGGTTTCACCATCTTGGCCAGGCTGGTCTTGAACTCCTGACCTTGTGATCCACCCGCCTCGGCCTCCCAAAGTGCTGGGATTACAGGCATGAGCCACCGCGCCCGGCATGTCTTATTCTTAAATTGGCTGATGGATATATAGATATTTGTATTATTATTATTATTTTTGAGATGGAGTCTTGCTCTGTCGCCCAGGCTAGGGTACAGTGGCGGGATCTCGGGTCACTGCAACCTCTGCCTCACAGGCTTAAGTGATTCTCCTGCCTCAGCCTCCCCAGCAGCTGGAACTACAGGTGTGTGCCACCATGCCCAGCTAAATTTTGTATTTTTAGTAGAGATAGGGTTTCGCTGTGTTGGCCAGGCTGGTCTCAAAATCGTGACCTCAGGTGATCTGCCTGCCTCAGCCTCCTAAAGTGCTGGAATTACAGGCATGAGCTACTGCGCCTGGCCATTTGTATTACTATTAATAGTTTTTATAGAGACGAGGTCTTGCTATGTTGCCCAGGCTGTTCTCAAGCTCCTGGCCTCAAGCAGTCCTCCTGCCATGGCCTCCCAAAGTGCTGGGATTACAAGCATAAGCCACTGCACCTGGCCCGATAGTATTATTATTTACATCTTTTTTTTTTTTTCTGAGACAGAGTCTTGCTCTGTTGTCCAGGCTGGAGTGCAGTGGTGCGATCTCAGCTCACTGCAACCTCCGCCTCCCAGGTTCAAGCGATTCTCGTGTCTCAGCCTCTGGAGTAGCTGGGATTACAGGGGTGCACCACCACTCCCGGCTAATTTTTGTATTTTTAGTAGAGATGAGGTTTCACCATGTTGGCCAGCCTGGTCTCAAACTCCGGACCTCTGGTGTTCCACCTGCCTCGGCCTCCCAAAGTGCTGGGATTACAGTCATGAGCCACCACGCCCGGCTAATTATTTACATCTTTTTGTGTGTTGGAGGTATTTCCTAATAAATGAAAATAAATTCAGGCCAGGTGCGGTGGCTCACGCCTGTAATCCCAGCACTTTGGCAGGCCAAGGAGGGCGGGTCACGAGGTCAGGAGATCAAGACCATCCTGGCTAACGCGGTGAAACCCCGTCTCTACTAAAAACACAACAAAATTAGCCGGGCGTGTTGGCGGGCACCTATAGTCCCAGCTACTCGGGAGGGTGAGGCAGAATGGTGTAAACCCGGGAGGTGGAGCTTGCAATGAGCCAGGCCACTGCACTCCAGGATGGGTGACAGAGTGAGACTCTGTCTCAAAAAATAAATAAATAAATAAAATAAATTCATATACAGAAATAAATGTCTCATCTGTGTTTGTCTAATTCCGGGTATCCCTGTATACTTATTGGCCATGAGAGTGTGAGACTCTGTAGGGACTTGTGAGCCCACAAATTCTTTTCTACATAGAACAAGTACTAAGGATGCCATCTTATATAAGAGCCAACATGTGCACACACTAGGTCCTGAAGATTTGTATCTTACATTGCAGTCTGTGGCCAGTTACTTTGGGTTAGAACACCCCAGATTTGAATGAAGCGGAGCATCCAGATGGCTTCAAGGGTGGGTTTCAGGTACCTCTGCTCCTTGGTCACTGAGGGCTCCCACCAGAACAGTGTAGGCCAGTCTGTAAATAGCCATCCCCACTTTAGAAAGCACATGCGCTGCACTAAACACTTAGGTATCTCTGACTCACGCCCTGCTCGTACTGGGAGAGACTTTAGTTAAACCAAACTGTAAATTTAACAACTGAGAAAATGAAACCGTTAAAAGATAAGCAACTTGCCCAAAGTCATACCGCCAATGAGAACAGCTAAGTCTCAAAATCATGTCTCCAGACTCCTAGGACAGTGCCCTTTAGAGCATACTGTGACATTCAGTCATATTCTTGGTGCCTGTACAGCTTTTAGTTCTTGAACTCCTGGCCTCAAGCAATCCTCCTGCCTCAGCCTCCCAAATGCTGGGATTATAGGCGTGAGCCACCACATCTGGCCCTATATTATTATTTACATCTTTTTGTACGTTAGAGGTATTTCCTAATAAATTAAAATAAATTCGTATACAGAAATATTAATAAATATGTCACCTGTCCTTAGTTCATTAGATTATATGATGATTCTTCAAGTTATATGATCTCATGCCCTGTCTGATTCCATTTGGGGAATACGCATTCCTCCCCGACCTTAAATCCAGCTCTCTTCTCCACTGAGAATTCTCTCCCTCCCATCTGTGGCTGAGATTAAAGATCTGCACCTGAAGCACTGAAGAATGTGTGGGTAATTAAATTACCCTGCCGATTCCTGGAGATGCTGATTACCTGGAGATGACCTCAGAGATTATCCTAAATTAACTCCTACAAGATACATATTGCAGCGGGAGGTGAGGTAGGGGAAGGATTGTGCACCTGAGGCTAGCAAAGGTTTCCACTCTGTTTAGAGATGATGTCACCAGTGCGTTTACATTTGCGTTGTGTTCACACATTGAGTGCTACTATGTACAAGACCATGTGTCAGACACTGAGGTAACAGGTATAGCTACTAGATAGAGTTCATAGCTATGGAGGCAAGCAGATTCACTGACTGCTAATTCTAACATGATGTGACAGTGCAACTAGAAAAACATAAACAAGCACTATGTGAGCACAAAGAAGGTGCACATCAACTCCTTACAGGTACCTGTAAAAGCCAAAGGGTAACAGTTGGATTGCACCTTGAAGAGGATGCACTTTTTTTTTTTTTTAAGACAGAATCTCACTCTGTTGCCCAGGCTGGAGTGCAGTGGGGCAATCTGGGCTCACTTCAACCTCTACCTCCCGAGTTCAAGCAATTCTCCTGCCTCAGCCTCCTGAGTAGCTGGTACTAGAGGCATGCGCCATGATGCTGGGCTAATTTTTGTATTTTCGGTAGACGTGAAGTTTCACCAAGTTGGCCAGGCTGGTCTTGAACTCCTGACCTCAAATCATCCACCCACCTCAGCCTCCCAAAATGCTGAGACTACAGGCGTGAGCCACCGCGCCTGACCTGGATGTAAGATTTTGATAGGTACAGAACAAGGAAAAGACTTTCCAGGCCGGGCACAGTGGCTTATGCCTGTAATCCCAGCACTTTGGGAGGCCGAGGTGGGCAGATCACGAGGTCAGCAGTTCAAGACCAGCGTGGCCAACATGGTGAAATCCCATCTCTACTAAAAATACAAAAATTAGCCAGGCATGGTGGTGGGTCCCTGTAATCCCAGCTACTCCGGAGGCTGAGGCAGGAGAATTGCTTGAACCTGGGAGGTGGAGGTTGCAGTGAGCAAAGACCGCGCCACTGCACTCCAGCCTGGGTGACAGAGGGAGACTCCGTCTCAAAAAAAAAAAAAAAAAGACTTTCCAGAAGGAGCAGCATAAACACAGGCATGACATGTTTCCATAATGGCAAGTGGCCCTAAATGACTAGAATATAAGGTAGATCCAGTAGGAAAGGACTTAGAAGGGGCTTTGGAAGGTGAGTCTGGAAATTAAAACTGGGGTAAACGTGATGGACCCTGAACATCATTATACTGCTTAAGATGCTAATCTTAATCCTGAAGGTAATGGGAAAACCTCCTAAGGTTTATGTTATTTTCTTTCTACTTAGGCTATTTAAAAAGTGGAGTGACGGCCAGGCGCAGTGACTCATGCCTGTAATCCCAGCACTTTGGGAGGCCGAGGTGGGCGGATCACCAGGAGTTCGAGACCAGCCTGACCAACATGGTGAAACCCCGCCTCTACTGAAAATACAAAAATTAGCCAGGTGTGGTGGTGGGCGCCTGTAATCCCAGCTACTTGGGAGGCTGAGGCAGAAGAATTGCTTGAACCCGGGAAGTGGAGGTTGCAGTGAGCAGAGATCGTGCCATTGTACTCCAGCCTGGGCAACAAGAGCGAAACTCAGTCACAAAAAAAAAAAAAAAAAAAAAAGGAGTGACATGCTTAGATCTCTGTTTTGGAATGACAGGTTTTTTGTTTCTAGCATCAATCCAAGGTTCATGGCTTGAGAAGGTGTACTGCCAGCAATGCCATTAACCAGCAAAGGGAATGCAGGAAGAGGAACAGATCTGGTGGGCATCAGTTTGGATGCTCTGAGTTTGAGCTGCCTGTGAAAACTGCAGGTGGTGATATGCAATTAACATTCACATACGGAGTTCAAAACTAGAGACACAAATTTGAGAGTCATCACAGAAATGTGAAGTGTGTTTTCTATAACTAAAGATAACCATGCTAACATAGCCATGTGTTACATTAGCATTTTTTTTTTTTTTTGAGACGGAGTCTCACTCTGTTGCCCAGGCTGAAGTGCAGTGCACAATCTTGGCTCACTGCAACCTCCACCTCCTGGGTTCAAGCGATTCTCCTGCCTTAGTCTCCTGAGTAGCTGGAATTACAGGCACCTACCAACACGCTTGGCTAATTTTTGCATTTTAGTAGAGATGGGGCTTTACCATGTTGGCCAGCTGGTCTCAAACTCCTGACCTCAAGTGATTCACCCACCTTGGCCCCCCAAAGTGCTGGGATTACAGGTGTGAGCCACTGTGCCCGGCCTTACATTTTGTGTTTTTTCCTGCTGCTTGTATGTGTGCAAGTCTGTGTATCATCAATGGGTATATGTGTACCTGCGCTGACAACAAAAAATGAGATGCATATCAGCTACTACACAAAGCTGTTATAAGGATGAAATGCAGTTAGCCAGTGCTCAGTAAAGGGCAGTTGCTTTACTACTACTAGGTGGGGTGGTGTATGTGAGAATCTGTATACTGCCATTAGTAGGCTTTAGTATGTAGTGTGCATATGGAATTCATGCATTAGTGTGTAGTATGTGTGGGACCCACTCACCTGAGCAGCTTCTCTCCCCACTTACAGTGGCATCTGTTGAGGATTCCTGTGAGGGATAAGGCAGGGAGTGAACTTGTTACAAGGCAGGGACAGGGAATGGAATGTGTTTATGTGTCTAAGCTGAGGCATCCAGGTCAGAGGTGCTGGTTGTTGAGGAAGCTGGCCTGGGAGGGCACAAAGGCAGCCAAAGCTGGTGCCTGGCCACAAATATGAGCTGGGATTACCGTACATGGAGATGGGGGAAGGGATGGACACTCACAGGGACACTTAGCCAGAAAAATACACAAAGCAGACCTAGTTAAAACTCAAGAACTGGCCAGGCACGGTGGCTCACGCCTGTAATCCCAGCACTCTGGGAGGCCGAGGCAGACGGATCACGTGGTCAGGAGATCGAGACCATCCTGGCTAACATGGTGAAACGCAGTCTCTACTAAAAATACAAAAAATTAGCCGGGCATGGTGGCAGGCACCTGTAGTCCCAGCTACTCGGGAGGCTGAAGCAGAATGGCATGAACCCGGGAGGCAGAGCTTGCAGTGAGCGGAGATCGCGCCACTGCACTCCAGCCTGGGTGACAGAGCAAGACTCCGTCTCAAAACAAAACGAAACAAATAAACAAACAAACAAAACACAAAAAACTCAAGAGCCCTCCCGCCCCTCCAAAAATACAAAAACTCAATAGCTGGCCGGGCAGGGTGGCTCATGCCTATAATCCCAGCACTTTGGGAGGCCAAGGCAGGAGGATCACTTGAGCTCAGGAGTTTGAGACCAGCCTGGGCAACATGGCGAAACACCATCTCTACTAAAAATACAAAAAAATTAGCTGGGCATGGTGGTGCAGGCCTGTAGTTCCAGCTATTCAGGAGGCTGAGGTAGGATGAGGCAGAAGAATCACTTGAACCCAAGAGGCGGAGGTTGCAGTGAGCCTAAATTGTACCACTGCACTCCAGCCTGGGTGACACAGCAAGATTCCATCTAAAAAACAAACAAACAAACAAAAAACTCAAGAGCCCAACACACATATGTAAAAAACTGGACGGCCGGGCGCGGTCGCTCATGCCTGTAATCCCAGCACCTTGGGAGGCTGAGGCGAGTGGATCCCCTGAGGTCAGGAGTTCAAGACCAGCCTGGGCAACATGGTGAAACCCCGTCTCTACTAAAAATACAAAAATTAGCTGGGCGTGGTGGCAGGTGCCTGTAATCCCAGTTACTCAGGAGGCTGAGGCAGGAGAATCGCTTGAACCCAGGAGGCAGAGGTTGCATTGAGCCGAGATCGCACCATTGCACTCCAGCCTGGGGGACAAGAGCGAGACTTCGTCTCACACACACACACACACACACACACACACACACAAAACTGGACACAACTGGCCAGGTGCGGTGGCTCACGCCTGTAATCCCAGCACTTTGGGAGGCCGAGGTGGACGGATCACGAGGTCAGGAGATCGAGATCATCCTGGCTAACACAGTGAAACCCGTTCTCTACTAAAAATACAAAAATTAGCCAGGCATCGTGGTGGGCACCTGTAGTCCTAGCTACTCAGGAGGCTGAGGCAGCAGAATGGTGTGAACCCAGGAGGCAGAGCTTGCAGTGAGCTGATATTGCACCACTGCACTCCAGCCTGGGCGACAGAGCGAGACTCTGTATCAAAAAAAAAAAAAAAAAAAACCTGGACACAACTTACTGAGATATGAAACTATATGGATATTTGCGGAGATGTCCCTAATATACCCTAAAGCCAGAGACAACTGATAAAGACTCTATACAAATCAAATAGGCAGTTATGCAGTTACAAAACTCTTCTCTATACACAAGGTCTCCCAAAGTCCCTAACAGGTACCCAACTAGTAGAAACATTCATACAAACCCAGGGAAGGAACACAGAATTGGTAAAGTAATGGCTGATATGCAACAACACTGTACAGCCACAAAGTATGGGAAGATGCTCAAGCTTGGGGGGCGGGGGGTACAAATAGGTAAGAAATTTGGATTGGCATGAAAGAGATATCTGACAATGGGAGTGAAGTGGGAAGGGAGGCTGGGACACATCTTTGGAGCCAATTGCTTTTCTGGTAGGTCTTTGTAATGTGAGATGAGGGATGGGGCACACCTACCAAAGAGGCTGAGCCCCTCCTTCAGTCCACTGGCCACTTTGTACACTGAGGGGTGAGACTCACTCTTAAAAATCTGTAGAACACTGTCGAGGAGAAATGGAGGAGTTTGGGGTAACTTGGACTTTTGAAGGGAATAAGAATTGAGGACTGATAAATGGAATGGGGACAGGGGATATCCTCCTGAGATCACGTCTTTTTTTTTTTTTTTTTTTTTTTGAGATGGAGTCTCGCTCTGTCGCCCAGGCTGGAGTGCAGTGGTGCAATTTCAGCTCACTGCAACCTCTGCCTCCTGGATTCAAGCAATCCTGCCTCAGCCTCCTGAGTGGCTGGGATTACAGGCGCACAACACACCCAGCTAATTTTTATATTTTTAGTAGAGACGGGGTTTTACCATATTGGTCAGGTCTCAAACTCCTGACCTCAGGCGATCCACCCGCCTTGGCCTCCCAAAGCGCGGGGATTACAGGCATGAGCCACCGCGCCCAGCCGAGATCATATCTTGATGTAAGGTTTGTCCCTTACTTTTCTTTGCCTCAGTTTCTCCCTATAGAAAAGAAAGCTAGTATCTTTATGCTTTTCTTCCTCTCTTTCCCTCAAAACCCCCCTTCCCTTTCCTTCAAGGAGAGAGATCTTAATAGCCCCAGGATTAGGGAAACTAGAGCCTCATTAGGATTATTGGGGCATTAAACTTAATCCTTCTCCCTCCCCAGAGACAGCAGCATGCCTCCACCTCTTTACCTGTAAGTGTCTTGATCTATGTTCACCAGATGAGTCCTGAGGACAGAAAACAAAAAAGCAGGAAGCAGTCTGAGTTCGTTCCACAACTCCACTTCCTTTGTCCCCCTCTCTGAATATTGTCCCAGTCTTCTTCCCAAAGTCTCATTAGCCCTTAGATTCTCCCGGGTGTCCTAGAGCACTTGACCCACTGGGTCACAGCCACATCCACACCCCACCCCCACTTTACTTTTCAGGCCTCCCAATCCCACATTACTTTGGTTGGGGTTGGGGTGAATCACCTACAACATAAATTTCTTAAAGCCCAGGATGGGGACGCTGACATTATAGTCTTCCAGTTCAACCCCGATTCTTCTTCGACCCAGGAACTTCAGCAGCCCTCCAAGTGCTCGAACCTGGGAGGGGATCAGCAGTGGAATCGGGGTAAATCTTAAATCTCCTGGGGGCTGCAGAGCACCAGGGAAAGTTACTATTTTCCAGGGCTAGGCCAGTACCTCCCAGAATTCAGCCCTAGCACTTGTGCCGCCTCCCAGCCCTTATCCCCCAGGACCAATCTCACTGTGAGGAGGCAGTCAAAGGGAATAATGGAAGAGAGGAAGAGGATTTTCTCAGTGGCAGTCATGGCGTCTGGGATGAAGGAGTAGTTTCCAGAAAGGAGGCGTTGTTTGCTTATCTCCAGACCTATTTGAGGGAGGCAAGCAAAGGGAACGGTCTTGTAGCTCAATTTTTTCACCCCATTTTAAGAATGAGACAATAGAAGCAAGAGAGATTATTTGACTTGCCCAAGCTCACACAGGCAGTTAATGGAAAGCTAGAGCAAGAACCAAATTTTCAGACTCTTAGTCTAATTCTCTTTTTATTCTACATATAATATAAAGATACTTGTCTGAAAGCACAGCCTGAGAAAGATAAATGGCTGAGGAAAGTAGACATCTGTCTGGAATTGAGGATTTTGGTCAAAATAATGGTATTAATAGAACTAGTAACACTAATGCCTTAATATCTAATTAGGATAGTACACTCCTGTTCTTATTGTAAACCTAGGAAAGTTATAGAAGTGCCTTATGGATCATAATAAGGGTCACTGAGGCAGTGCCTTTTGGTTTGGTGATAAAAGGCTTTAACTTAATGGGGAGAATTCCAACAATAAAACCCTGTCCAAAAAGTGTCACCACTCCTCAGGGGAGGCCCTCATCCCTAGACATGACTTAAGCAGAGGCTTCCCAATAAGCTGCAGGTTATTAAAGGGTAGGGAGCAGGAGAGATCTTGGGGGGACAGGTCATAGGGCATGAGGAGCACAAAGGTTTAGGATGACATAAGGCAGAGGGGAGATCTGTGATGATGAAGGTAGAGTTGGGGGAAAGAATGGGACACCGGAACAGGGAGTTAGGCAAAGCAAAAGGAAGGAGATACCAAAATCCACACTTGGCAAAAATATGATTTCAGGTCTTTTAGGCTCTCTGTGCTCCTGGGAGGCTGTGGGGGAGGAAAGAAAAGGCTATCATTCTTTACATCTCAGTCCTTCTACCTCTGTCTGACACTCCCTCTCACCCAATTCTAGCCCCCTGGAATATTCCATATATTAGTCCTTCCCCATTTTCCCTCTATCCTTTACCAAGTCCTTACCAAGCTTTCCCAGAAATCGAGTCATATTCTCATCCTGTTTGGCACTCGTAACAACAGACTGGGGATTGATCTCATCCAGAACTTGGAAGGAGAACAGAGATCAAATGAGTTAAAGGATCTTTGTCTTTGACTAAGAGAAAACCCATAGCCCTCCTCTTCCTACCCCTCTCCTTCTCAAAAACATTTCCTCCCTAGGAGTAGGGAGTGCTCTGCACAGTGGGAACACAGGTAGAAGTTGAGATTTAGAAAAGTAGTTAAGAGTGGTGGGATGGTGAGAGGGAAGTGGGATGTTCTGGATGTTGTCACTAGGCTGTAAACCCCTGGAGAACAGACATGACTGATTTGCCCAGGGCTGAATCTGAAGCACCTGAAACATTGTAAATACGTCATATATATTTGTGGCCAGGCACAGTGGCTCATGCCTATAATCCCTGCCCTTTGGGAGGCCAAGGCAGGCAGATCACTGGAGGCCAGGAGCTCAAGACAAGCCTAGCCAACGTGGTGAAACCCTGCCTCTACTAAAAATATAAAAATTAGCCAGGCGTGATGGCAGATTCTTGTAATCCCAGCTACTCGGGAGACTGAGGCAGGAGAATTGCTTGAATCCGGGAGACGGAGGTTGCAGTGAGCCAAGATGGCACCACTACACTTCCAGCCTGAGTGACGGAGCAAGACACTGTCTCAAAAAAGAACAACCAAACAAACCAAAAAACAGCCTCACAAATATTTGTTAAATAATGAAATGAATTCATAAAAACAAAAGAGGGAGCCTCTGTGAAGCAACTGTAAAATATATTGAGTCAGTGCTATAGTTTGGATGTGATTTGTCCCTGCCAAATATCGTGTTGAAATTTAATCCCCAGTGTGATAGTGTTGTGAGGTAGGGCCTAGCAGGAGGTGTGTGGGTGATGGGAGTGGATCGCTCATGAACAGATTAATGCCCTTCCTGGAGTGTGTTGGTGGGTATGAGTGAGAGGTTCTCACTCTATTAGTTCCTGAGAGAGCTGGTTGTCAAAAAGAGCCTGGCATCTCCCTCCCCCTTGCTTCTTCTCTGCCATGTGACCTCTACACACCCTGCCTTCCCTTCTTCCATGAGTTGAAGCAGTCTGAGGCTCTCACCAGTGAAGATGCCCAATTTTGAGCTTTCCAACCATCCAGAACCATAAGCCAAATAAAACTTTTTTTTTTTTTTTAACAAATTACTCAGAGTCAGGTATTTCCTTACAGCAACACAAAATATGCTAGACAGTGAGGTGAGTTAATGTAAGTAAAACATGGCTGGGCGTGGTGACTCACACCTGTAGTCCCAGCACTTTAGGAGGCCAAGGTGGGCGGATCACAAGGTCAGGAGTTTGAGACCACCCTGGCCAACATGGTGAAACACCGTCTGTGCTAAAAACACACACAAAAAACTAGCTGGGTGTGGTGGCACACGCCTGTAGTCCCAGCTACTCGGGAGGTTGAGTCAGGAGAATTGCTTGAACCCAGGAGGTGGAGGCTGCAGTGAGCCAAGATTGCGCCACTGCACTTGAGCCTGGGTAACAGAGCAAGACTCTGTCTAGAAAAAAAAAATATGTGTGTGTGTGTGTGTGTGTGTGTGTGTGTGTGTGTGTGTGTGTGTGTGTAACACATCTGCAATCCCAGAGAGCAGAGGAATTCATGGTTCCATCCCCACCTCTCTGGAGAAGCTTGAGGCTCTCGTGGTCTGGGGCATCTGGCATGAAGTGGATAGTGGAGTCACTAGTATCATAGTAGGCAATGCCCAAGTATCCTGAATTCCACAGCACACACAGATGGATCTGTCCAGCAAGGAAGAAAGGAAATCACTATTAGAATCACTCATAAGTGTAGGGTTTACCATGTCTTATATAATTTAATCATTTTCTCAAATCTCTGAGATAGGCATCATCACCCCCATTTAGTGAATGTGAAACAGCCACTCAGGAGGTAAGAGACTTGCCCAGCTCTTCCCAACCCTGTTTTTTTTTTCTTTCTTTCTTTGAGACGGAGTCTTGCTCTGTCGCCCAGGCTGAAGTGCAGTGGAGCAATCTCAGCTCATTGCAACCTCCGCCTCCCGAGTTACAGTGATTCTCCTGCCTCAGCCTTCCCAGTAGCTGGGATAACAGGCACGTGCCACCACGCTCGGCTAATTTTTATATTTTTAGTAGAGACGGGGTTTCGCCATGTTGCCCAGGCTGGTCTCCAACTCCTGAGCTCAGGTGATCCGCCCGCCTCAGTCTCCCAAAGTGCTAAGATTACAGGTGTGAGCCACCGCGCCCGGCTCCCAACCCTCTTTTATTCTAACTTCCCATCAACTCTCCATTCAAGTTTCTACTCCCCTCAGAGACCTCGGCCAGCTCCTCCTCCTCCTCGACTTCCTCCTCCTCGGCCTCCCTGGGGCCCGGCACTGGGGCCGGGCTGGGGAAGCCGGAGGAGGCCGCCCCAGGTCTCGGTCCCTGCGGTGTCCTCCTTGGGTTCGCTCCTAAGGAGGCCATGAGCTTGGAGGCTCTGCGGATGCAAAAAGTGAGGGCGGTTCGGAAGCAACGATTCACAGAGGAGGCCGGGGTAGGGTGGCGCGCAGAATGCAAAGCACTAAGTACTTCTGCTACAGGGCTGCGGGGCAGGGCTGAGGGGCGTGGAGAGCTGTGGACACAGGAGGTGAATTCTCGGGTATTTAACTAAAGTACAGATTGTGGGAAACTCCACGCGCCCCACCCTCATTCCTGTCACGCGGAGGTTACCCTTTGGAAGGAAGGGGTCTGAGGGCCCTGTGGGGCGAGTCGTGCACGTCTTATGTCTCTGCCTCTGCCAACCACGCGCCAGGACCCCAGCCTCACGCGCTTATCTTCCTCCTCCCCCAGCTGCCGCCATCGCAGCGTTTTCCCGCCTTTTCAGTAACCTGAGTCGCTACAGGTGGGAGAACGCCCCGCTGACCGACCGCCACGAGCCTGCAAAAGGAGCGCGCCGGCGCGTGAGCGAGGTGCGCGCGCACGCGCCCCGCCCTCCTAGCCGCTGTTGATTGGAGAGGCCCGGATCCAGCCTAGAGATCCGACAGGGCGAGGAGGAGAAGCGGACTGCCGTAGCTGAAGAGTCTGGACGCTGATTGGCCTATTTGCCTTCGGGGCGGGTCCAGAACGTTCAAACTTCCCGCCCTCTGCCGTTGCTTAGCAGCCGGGCCTCTAGCACTCACTGTTTCTGGGATTTGATTGGCGTAGTGGGAAGCCCGCGAGAAGGTCGGACCAGGGTCCGTAGTCCCAGTCCCTGGAAGGGGTTTGGGACCGTTGCGGGGGTTTTGAGGGGGAGGCCAAACTTAAAGAGCCAGAGGCGCTTATTTTTTTTCCTGCAACAACTCTTAAGTTAATATTTGTACCCTCTGAGTTAATATTTATACAGAGCTTAGAACAGTGCCTGGCAAACAAAGTAAGACCTAAATGAGCGGTGTTTCAAATAAATAAGCGGAAACAAGCAGGACTTCTGTCTCAGCCCTACCGTGCCTGTTTCCTGGGTACAGGGTATGACCACCCCCATAATGGCACGACAGGGCCTAATTTATTATTTAAACCCTTCAAGCAGAGGTGGAAGCATTCGAATTACATCAAATTCTGGCAGAGAGAAGTAGTTCTGATCAGAACACTCACACCCCTACTGGGACATGCCCATACCCCTTCGCACTTCTACACACCCCTGAAGACAGAGAGGTATCTATCATTCATGCATTCGGCAACTATTTAGTGCCTATTTTGGGCCAGGGGTTGGACTCAAAGCGGTGAACATAATGAAGTCACTGCTCCATAAAGCTTATTTGTGCGTCTGTGTGTGTGTGTGTGTGTGTGTGTGTGTGTGTGTGTGTGTGTTGCGGGGGTGGGGTTATGAGGGAGAAAGAAAAAAAAAATATATATATATATATATAATCCCTTTAAATGCACCATCCTCCCCAGCTTTGTTCCTAGTACCCTGAGATGGGGAGATTCCTCCCCAGCCCCCCAACCCAAGAAGTTAGGAAAGATGGTGGGGGTGAGATGACCTAGCTGTGCTAACCAGTAATTGGAAAATCCCCTCCAGCAAGAAAGGTGGGGGAACAGAGTTAAGGGCTGGGTTAATGGTTACCCCTGGCAAATCTGTTGAGCAATGGAGCTATAGAAACTTGGAGGAGGTTGGTGACAGCTCTGGGGAGTGTCAGGGAGGGACCCACCTTCCAATCTGGGGTGTGAAGAGATTAGGGACTAGTTTACCAAGCCCAGGAAGGGGAGGGAGTGGAAAGAGAAGCCCAGAGAGGGAAAGAGGAGCTACTGAGATAGGAGAAATGCAGGGACAGGGAGGTGAGATGGAGGGAAACCTCTGTTGCAGGATTTGGGGGTACAGCCCTGGCTCTGCTGGATGGTTCCAGGAGAGGGCAGCGTTGCCTGTCACCTGGTAAATTAAGGCACGATACCCTGTGGGTAGTCATGCCAGCCAGCCAAAGTCAATATTGATATCAAGGCAGCTGTAGCTATAAAGCTGTAGGAGAGAAAAGAGAGGCCGGGAGAGGCTGCCAAACCTGTTTGATCTTCAAGCTGGCCCCATTTACCTAAGGCTTCTCTTGGACACAGACCAGTTGGAACAGGAGAGGACCCTGAGAAGTAGAGTTGTTTTGATCCCCTCCCCTCAATGGGAAGGGGTCCTGTGTGCAGATTTTGAGGGTCACCATGAGGGAATTCACACCCACACAGAGGCATGGAATCATACCCTTACAGGATGTTACAGTTCAAGGGAACGAACACCAAAGATAGCCTTTCTGTCGGGAGGAGAGAAAAAGGCCCTCCCACAAGCAGGAGAAAACCCACAGAAGAGGAAGCACAAGAGGAAACCACCAACTGCTGGTTTCCAGCAGCACATCACGTCACTCCACCCCACTCCTCCCCCAAGTCTCTCCCTTTCTTTAAGTTTCAAGCTCTGTTTTAGTTCTGTGTTCTTGCACTCCACCATGGTTTTCTGGAACTGTAGGTCTTTTGTTGGACAGAGGGTGATGAGGAGGATAGAGAAGGGATGGTTGGACAGGAGAGAAATTCAGGATATGGAGGCTGGAATTCTGGGTTTATTTTTTCAGCAGGTCATAAAGGTTTAATAGAAATCAAGGTTACTGGAGAGAGAGCTGCTCCTCCTATGTCCTCCCTGCTTATTTATTTAGGTGTCCCCAAGGACTCTACTCCCACTATTCTGTCTGATCTTTCTTTATCCCCATGACAGGACCAGCTAACAACACCCCTACCCCACCCCCTATACACATACTTCAGGATCGGGCCATGATAATCCCACCCCTCTGCCCCATCTCCAAGGCAACCTGTCAGTGAGACGAGGACAAAGGGCACAGGAAGGGGCCCCAATAGGAAACATAAGTGGAAGCACAAAGCTGACCAAGCTACAGGAACAGACCCCTCCCTGCAACAAAGCCCCTTGCCTCGGCTTTATGTTTCCTTCGCAAAAGACTTCGTCATCTCCCTTCCCATCCCTAACTCTACTTTCTTTTTCTTTTCTTCTTCTTCTTTTTTTTTTTTTTTTTTGAGATGGAGTTTCGCTCTTATTGCCCAGGCTGGAGTGCAATGGCACCATCTCAGCTCACTGCAACCTTCACCTCCCGGGTTCAATTGATTCTCCTGCCTCAGCCTCCCAAGTAGCTGGGATTACAGGTGCCCACCACCCCGCCTGGCAAATTTTTGTATTTTTAGTAGAGACAGGGTTTCACCATGTTGGCCAGTCTGGTCTTGACTCCCTGACCTCAGGTGATCCACCCCCCTTGGCCTCCTAAAGTGTTGGGATTACAGGCGTGAGCCACCTCACCCGGCCCCTAACTCTATTTCCTATGCCCAATCCCAAGTGTAGGCCACAAGGACTGCAAGTCCTAGTGCTGAGCTGGGCCCGGAGACAGTAGACTGCGGGGGGCACAGGACCTACTGAGACACCAGTCTGGGCAGCTCAGGGAGTGCTGGCGTCACCCCTTCCCTAATCCCAGGCTGCATGGCTAACGGTTCCTATCTGCAGTCCCAGCCTTCCACTTCCGAGTTCTTCTCTCAGACCACAGTCCCAGCAACCCAGAATTTGGATTGGAGTCTGGAAGAAATGCAGAATGATTAAACGACCACCTTTCCATTTGAAGTCCCCATCCCTGAATCTTCACGGGTGTGCCCAAGCTGTTAGTGTCAAGTTTTTTATATGAGGGTCAGTCGGGTTGTACTCAGATTAATGAAGCAGGGAAACTGAGGCAGAAAAGAGTCCTGTGTTCAGGAGAGGTCGGAGAAACAAGGAGGTTTTCAGGACTCCTCCTTAACACCCCCATCCCCATCCTGTGGGAGATCCGAGGATTCCCCTTCCGGACTCACTCCCTACATCGTCGAGTCCCGCCCCCCTCCAGTCCCCTCCCCAGGTTCAGGGCGGGGCCGGTCGGTGAGTCAGCGGCTCTCTGATCCAGCCCGGGAGAGGACCGAGCTGGAGGAGCTGGGTGTGGGGTGCGTTGGGCTGGTGGGGAGGCCTAGTTTGGGTGCAAGTAGGTCTGATTGAGCTTGTGTTGTGCTGAAGGGACAGCCCTGGGTCTAGGGGAGAGAGTCCCTGAGTGTGAGACCCGCCTTCCCCGGTCCCAGCCCCTCCCAGTTCCCCCAGGGACGGCCACTTCCTGGTCCCCGACGCAACCATGGCTGAAGAACAACCGCAGGTCGAATTGTTCGTGAAGGTAAGAACACTTCTCTCCTCAGCCACCCAAATTCCTGGAAGCCAACTCTCACCTTTCCCCCGGTCCAGCCTTAACTCCCCAATCCCTTCCCTCCTTGACTCCCACCCCCAATCCCACGTGCACTCTTTGGTTGAGGGGTGGTTTTGAGAGGGGAAGACATTAACTTGTTAGCAAGTAATGAGAATTCTAGGATCAACCCTGAAAAGTTTGTAAAAGTGCAAGTTTCTAGCAGACTAAAGGAAGGGAAGTGGAGAAAAAGGAGAATTCCCAAAAGTGAGACTGGGGTGGGGTTAGAGGGCGAGCTGGTGAAGGGACAGTGGGGGCCCAGCAGGGTTTAGAAGGGACAGAGGGGAACCTCAGTTAGGACATGTGTCCCTACAAGATCTGAGGGTGAGTAGTGCAGTAGGAGAGGTGTGTGTGTGTGTGTGTGTGTGTGTGTGTGTGTGTGTGTGTGTGGATGGAGACGCTTCAGGGAAGACGGTGTGTTGAGGGAGGCCTGAGAGTGAGAGCAAGTAAATTGGGAAGCTTTGGAGGGGCGGAACAAAACAGGAGACTGGGATCGGAGTTTGAAAAGCAGAGCTGGAGAGGTGATCGGGTGGCATTGAATATCCCCAGGACTGGGGAAAGGGACAGAAGGGGAGGTGGCAAGAAGACGTGAGTTTAACGTAGCTACCACAAGGATGGGTGGGAGAGAGATCAGACGGAGGAGAAGAGCTCGGTTAGGGCATTTTGGGATTTGGGGGTTGGAGAAGTAGAAGACTTGCCCCAACTCTCTCCTCTCTCTGCGGGTGTGGGTAAGGAGAGATGGTCCTATGGCATTTGGGTAGCAAAACTGCAGGCAGCAGGCTTCTCGGTGTCACCCAGCCCCCCTCTGATTGCAGCGGCCGCTCCCCTCCCTACCGCTGCTGCATTCATTTCCCAGTCTTGGGACCTCCTGGCTGTGCCCCTCCCTCCCTTCCTTAACAGTGTCCTCTTCTCCCCGCTCCGTTTGTGTCTCTCCGTTGGCACGCACGTCTCCCCACTCTCCACTTTCCTGCCGCCTTTCTTTCCCCTTCCCCCCTTTTGTTTCTCTCATCTTTGTGTGTCTCTGCCTGTGTCTCCCTCTCCCTTCTGCTTGGGTTTCTCGGGCAGCCATTCCCTCTCCCTGGGCCCAGGGAAGTCGGAGCCTGCTTGGGTCCGCCCCCTTAGGTGTGGTCCCCACCTCACTCTCACATTCGCCTCCGGGGCTATTTTTACTCGTGGGTGAGGCTGTGCCGCAGAGATTCCGGCCCTGTGTCCTGTGAGAGGATGGTTATTGCAGTCAGAGGACTTGTGCTGGGAGACCCTGGCAGCAGGTTAGGGGTAGCCTTAGCTGCCCAGGCCTCATCCTCACTGTCCCTTCCCCCACATCCTTGACAGGAAGGAAGCCGGAGACAGAGAGATGAATCACCCTCAGCTTAGGGGGAGGTGTCCCTTGGGCCAATGAGGTCACCACTTGCTAATTAGAGGGCAGCCCCTCTCTGTAGGGCCCTCCACATCTCTAGCGCGAGGCCCAGGGCCCCTTGACTAGACTCCCCACCCAAAGACACCTTGGATTGGAGGTGTAGAGAACCAAAACTCTGGCTCCCAAACCCCACCCACCTCTCCTGTCTTCAGACTCTACTCCCTTCAGGAACCCAGAAATCCAGGCTTCTAGCCTACAACTCTGGCCTCACTGAAGTTCCACACCCTTCCCTCTCTAGGATTCAGATCCTCCCAAGTTCTCCAGGACCTCCTCCCTCTACCTACCTCCCACCTGTCCTCAGTGTCTGGGGAACCAGAAGCCTGCCTTTGCAAAACAGTTTCCCATTGATCTGCCTTAGGTTTGACCCAGGCCCAAGGGCAAAGAGCCCATAGTGAGGGGACAGTGTATGTGTCATGACTAGGCAGAAAACAGCTGGTCTGGGAGTGGGAATGCAGGGACTGGCCTAGGGATGGGTGGGGTGCATCAGGCATAACCTTGGGTTGGGGTTACTTTTCAGGCTGGCAGTGATGGGGCCAAGATTGGGAACTGCCCATTCTCCCAGAGACTGTTCATGGTACTGTGGCTCAAGGGAGTCACCTTCAATGTTACCACCGTTGACACCAAAAGGTAGGCCTGCTTATGTTCCTTGAAACACCCCTGGTGTACACATGTGTGCAAACACACACCCACCCGAGTCCTTCTGTCATGAACATTTTTGCCCTCCCCCTGGAGTCCCTTTCTTATCCCACGTCCTCCATTCCCCCTTTCTGGTTCTTCCTGACCCCCATTTCCAGTCCTGATTCCTGATCCTTTCTCCAGGCGGACCGAGACAGTGCAGAAGCTGTGCCCAGGGGGGCAGCTCCCATTCCTGCTGTATGGCACTGAAGTGCACACAGACACCAACAAGATTGAGGAATTTCTGGAGGCAGTGCTGTGCCCTCCCAGGTATAGGGGCACTCAGAAAGTGGAGAGGTGGAGCAGGGAGATTCTGGGAAACAGACAGTTTGCAGAAATGGAAAACAGAGATGGTGGTGGGGCTGGGGCAGGAGAGCTAGCTGAGGTTCCTCCCAGGAAGACATCTTACCTCATTTTTCCCATTGGCTTTCAGGTACCCCAAGCTGGCAGCTCTGAACCCTGAGTCCAACACAGCTGGGCTGGACATATTTGCCAAATTTTCTGCCTACATCAAGAATTCAAACCCAGCACTCAATGACAGTGAGTCTTGTGGGTCAGAGGCCTGGGTCCTGGGAGGAATAGAGAGGACCCAGCGGGTAGGAGACATTAGGGGCACCTGGACGTTCAGATATCAGGGAGATGAAGCAGATGTTCGTAAATTTCCCCCAGCTTCCCATTTTTGCTTTACCTCTATATTTCCCTGCATTTTCATTGGCCAAGACTTTTAAGCTTTTCTCATTTGTTCCCTAGCCTCTTCTGCCCCACTGAGGACGTTAGTTGGCTGCTGGCCTGTTTTCTGGCAGAATAGGGTCATGCTTAAGAACAGTCATCACTCTAGATCCAGACTACCTGAGTACAAATCCAACTAGCCGTATAATTTTGAGCAATCATTTCACCTCTCTGTAAGTCCATTTCCAGATCCACAAAATTAGGATGACAATACCTATTTCATGGGTTGATATAAATTTTTTTTTTTCTTTTTTTTTGAGATGGAGTCTCGTTCTGTCGCCCAGGCTGGAGTGCAGTGGTGCAATCAGCTCACTGCAACCTCTGCCTGCCGGGTTCAAGCAATTCTCCTGCCTCAGCCTCCTGAGTAGCTGGGATTACAGACGTGCATCACCACGCCCAGCTAATTTTTGTATTTTTAGTAGAGACAGGGTTTCACCATGTTGGCCAGGCTGGTCTTGAACTCCCGACCTCAGGTGATCCACCTGCCTCGGCCTCCCAAAGTGCTGGGATTACAGGAGTGAGCCACTGCACCCGGCGATATAAATGAGTTTGTAAAATGTAAAGTGTTCACTTTGGGAGGCCGAGGCTAGCGCACCACCTGAGGTTAGGAGTTGGAGACCAGCCTGGCCAACATGACTGGTCTCTACTGAAAAAAATACAAAAATTAGCCAGTTGTGGTGGCAGGCACCTGTAATCCCAGCTACTCAGGAGGCTGAGGCAGGAGAATCATTTGAATCTAGGAGGCAGAGGTTGCAGTGAGCCGGGATCATGCCACTGCACTCCAGCCTGGGCAACGGAGCAAGACTCCGTCTAACATAAAATAAAATGTAAAGTGCTTAGAATAACACATAGAAAAGTAACTACATGAGTGTTAGCTATTATTATTTTGGACTCACCATTAGTATCCACCCCCAACGGGCCTTTTCGGACTATGTCAATCTTTTCCTGAAGTTCTAATCAGTTCCCTCTCTTGCACAGATCTGGAGAAGGGACTCCTGAAAGCCCTGAAGGTTTTAGACAATTACTTAACATCCCCCCTCCCAGAAGAAGTGGATGAAACCAGTGCTGAAGATGAAGGTGTCTCTCAGAGGAAGTTTTTGGATGGCAACGAGCTCACCCTGGCTGACTGCAACCTGTTGCCAAAGTTACACATAGTACAGGTGTGTGGTTATTGCGGGAGGAGAGGATGACCACTGGAGTGGCCCTTTAAGGAGCTCCCACATGGGCTTCCCCTGACAACCACTCTAAAGACGATTTCTTTCTTAGGGTGGTTTTCATAAATTGCTACCAATGGCAGACCCCACCCCAGTCCTTTGCAGCAGTCATTGCTAACAAGACCACTGCTTGAGATAATTATATTCCATGATGTAAGTCATGGGTGCAAACAGACTAGCAAAGAGGAATACATCCCAGTATTACTTTTGAAGAATGCTCTTCCTGTCTCGGTATCACTGCCAAATTCCCAGATTAGACAGAGCAGGCTTTTCCTAAAGTCAAAGCTTTAACTTTCTTTATAACTTCAGTCTTCACTTCCTCTTGTGGAAGATCAAAACTGCTGGTTCCCATGTTTTTGTCATAGTCTCAAAGCTATGGTTTAGTTTGTGCAACATGGGCCTGACATCAGTCTGCCACACAACTATGTAGTGAACATCTGTGTACTAAGCATTGAAAGATACACAAGTGTATGGTGACTGGGCCTTGCTCTCAAAGGGTTGAAATCTGAGACAATAAAATATTCACATGAAAGTTAAGAATATATGATGAAAAGTCAGATGGGCCGGGCGTGGTGGCTCACGCCTATAATCCCAACACTTTGGGCGGCCAAGGCTGGTGGACCACCTGAGGTTAGGAGTTCGAGACCAGCCTGGCCAACATGGTGAAACCCCATCTCTACTAAAATTACAAAAATTAGCCGCACATGGTGGTGGGCACCTGTAATCACAGCTATTTGGGAGGCTGAGGCAGGAGAATCACTTGAACCCGGGAGGCGGAGGTTGCAGTGAGCCAAGATCGCGCCATTGCACTCCAGCCTGGGTGACAGCAAGACTCCATCTCAAAAAAAAAAAAGTCTGATGAAAAATATAGAGACAAAAGTCACCTGTGTCAGTGCCTGAAGTGGTATAGGGGGAAAAAGTCACTGTGGAAATTCAAGAGGAGAATTTTATAAGTAAATTATATCTCAAGTTTTAAAAACTCAGGAAAAATGGCTGGTTATTAAAAGCCAGGATTTCAGTAAGTGAGAAGGAAGGCTAACGACAGTACAAGACAGTGAGGAGTTGAGCTGGTTTTATCATGTCGGCCTGGGGAGAAGGGAAAGCCAAGGTGGCTTCCCTGGGTCTAACATGTTGGTCCCTCTCCTCTCCCCATCCTCAGGTGGTGTGTAAGAAGTACCGGGGATTCACCATCCCCGAGGCCTTCCGGGGAGTGCATCGGTACTTGAGCAATGCCTACGCCCGGGAAGAATTCGCTTCCACCTGTCCAGATGATGAGGAGATCGAGCTCGCCTATGAGCAAGTGGCAAAGGCCCTCAAATAAGCCCCTCCTGGGACTCCCTCAACCCCCTCCATTTTCTCCACAAAGGCCCTGGTGGTTTCCACATTGCTACCCAATGGACACACTCCAAAATGGCCAGTGGGCAGGGAATCCTGGAGCACTTGTTCCGGGATGGTGTGGTGGAAGAGGGGATGAGGGAAAGAAATGGGGGGCCTGGGTCAGATTTTTATTGTGGGGTGGGATGAGTAGGACAACATATTTCAGTAATAAAATACAGAATAAAAATCAAGTGTTTTTACGCAATGGGGATTTAAAGTGTGGGCGACATGGAATGAGGGGTGGGTCAGTGATCTTGAGCTCAGGGCAGAAGCCAGGAATTAAGAAGGGAAATGTTTGTGGTGGGGCTGCTATGTTTCGTGCCGGTCCGCCGGTCCGCCGTTGCGCTGTTCTGAGGTCTACGAAGCGTTTGCAGCCCCGTCGCCAGGGCCGGCCAGATCTGGGTGGGCCTGGGCAGCGCTCGCTGGGCGGTGCCGATTTCTGGCAAGGGGGGCGCAGTCTGGATGTAATGGGCGAGGCTTAGCAGGGCGGAATGGGCGTGGCCCGAAGAAGCCCCGCCCCGTCCCGCTTAGACAATGCCCCGGAGCCGCCAGACCGTCGCGCCCCTGCCCCATCGTAGTATATGAGCTCGCCTACACAAGGACCCCCGCTAAAAGCCAGAGCTCCCAGTCCCCGAGGCTTGAAGACGGGGACTCCCTTCTCCACCAACTCTGTCCTCGGGGGGTGGGGCCCCAGCCGAGATCACAGCGCGACAGGAGTGGGGGTGGCCGCTGGAGGTGAGTCTTGCGTGGGGGGCCCTGAACCGTGTGGGGGCCGGAGTTTGGGGGTGCCGGGCCCATGCCTGCACCAGACAGAGAGTATGGGGAGCCGGTATTTGGGCGCGGAGCTAGGCGGGGTGGACTTTGGGACATAGACGGGGAACCGGGTCCTGGAGCCGGGAGTAGTGCCAGCGCCCCGGAACCACGCCCCCTGTTACCCCGCCCCTCGCATTTCGTTTTAGACCTCTCCCAGTCCTTCGGGACTCGGTCTGGTTTATACTAGGTCGCGCTAGGGGCAGCGTGACCAGCCAGGGCGGAGAGAGGATGCTTAACTCCTTAGGCTCGAACTCCTCCCTTCCTACCCACCTCTCTCCCTTCTCGTTCGGGTATTCAGGACTTCCATTCCCCAGCCCCTGCCTCTCCAGCTTTCTCCTTCTGTCCCATAACCCCTGCGGGTCGCGGGCTGGACTTCCAGTCCCTGCGGTAGCGAGCAGCTGAGGGTTAAGGGGGCGGGGCTGCTGCATTTTTGGGGAGTGAGCGCATCCTAGTGGCTGCCAAGAGGGGCGCCCGACAGGGACCTCACAAGCCCCCAAGCAGGGGCAACAGGTGTTTTGGAGATTAGAGACCCTAGCCTTGTTCCTCAGGCTCCTCTTAAAGAATCTGACCCCTGAGGGTGCTGGGTAGAGTGAGGTCGACAGGAGCGGAAGGTCTGGAGTGGGTGGGGCGGAGTGGGAGGGACGCCTAGAGATGGCAGGAGGAAGACCTGGGCGCTCTTAACCACCCCCAACGCCCTTGTCTGCATGTCTTTTTCTCTGTCTCCTCCTTTTCTGTTTCTTCTCCCAGACAGGTGAAGAAACAAGAAAACTAAGAAATCCGAGCGGTTGGAGGGGGAGTCTGTGTGGATGGGATGGGGACGCCGGGGGAGGGGCTGGGCCGCTGCTCCCATGCCCTGATCCGGGGAGTCCCAGAGAGCCTGGCGTCGGGGGAAGGTGCGGGGGCTGGCCTTCCCGCTCTGGATCTGGCCAAAGCTCAAAGGGAGCACGGGGTGCTGGGAGGTAAACTGAGGCAACGACTGGGGCTACAGCTGCTAGAACTGCCACCTGAGGAGTCATTGCCGCTGGGACCGCTGCTTGGCGACACGGCCGTGATCCAAGGGGACACGGCCCTAATCACGCGGCCCTGGAGCCCCGCTCGTAGGCCAGAGGTGAGCGCCGTGGCGCGGGTGTGGTATGGGGAAAGGCAGAAGGAACTGGATGTCGGGGCTTTGGGGAAGAATTGAGGATGGGGGTGTCACAGCTCCGTGCCCTCTTCTCCTATCCTAAGGTCGATGGAGTCCGCAAAGCCCTGCAAGACCTGGGGCTCCGAATTGTGGAAATAGGAGACGAGAACGCGACGCTGGATGGCACTGACGTTCTCTTCACCGGTGAGGCTGGGGGGAGGCATAGGTCTTGGCACAGGGAAGTAGAGTTTGGGAGACTCGGCCGTCTGGAGCCTTGTTTCTAACTCACTCCCGCCCTCAAACCTCCGCGGCCTCCCGGACTCAGGCCGGGAGTTTTTCGTAGGCCTCTCCAAATGGACCAATCACCGAGGAGCTGAGATCGTGGCGGACACGTTCCGGGTGCGGAGCGGGACCAGCCTAGGGAGGGAGGGGGTGCAGGTGGGGGTCGGAAGGGCCTGGGCGCCCGCTGAGGAAATGAGAGGCAGAGAGCAGCCTATGTTTGAAGATACCCCATCACCCCTCCCGCGCCCCTGAATACCTCCCTTCGCTCTCCCTAGGACTTCGCCGTCTCCACTGTGCCAGTCTCGGGTCCCTCCCACCTGCGCGGTCTCTGCGGCATGGGGGGACCTCGCACTGTTGTGGCAGGCAGCAGCGACGCTGCCCAAAAGGCTGTCCGGGTGAGGAGGGGGCGGGGCCAACGAAAGTGGGCGCAGTTCTGGGCCCGGGAGGCCGGGAGCTGGGAGGCTTAGGAAATTAGCCCTAACCCCTGCCCTCAATGGGCTGTCCATCTTACATGAAAGAACACAGGAGAAAATAAGAAGTTACAACAGCAGGACTGGGAACAGGGGTGATTAATTTGCTCTTCCGGAGTTTCAGGAAACCCCAAAGGTGGCACCTAAACTGTGACTCTAAGGATGGGTAGGACAGATAGGAGGGGCTGGGGAAGGTAGGGGGTTGAAAATAACTGCATGTGATTCCAAGGTGGAAATTAGCAAAGGTAACTAAAGTACTTAGTGTCTGACATATCGTAAGCTCTATGTGCTTGCTGTCATTATTTTCCACAAATGTCAGTCCGTCCCCAGCCCTTAGTGGTGGTTGAGCAGGCAGACACAGCTGTGGAGAGGTTCTGAGACTCGAACACTTCCTCTTTCCTCTAGGCAATGGCAGTGCTGACAGATCACCCATATGCCTCCCTGACCCTCCCAGATGACGCAGCTGCTGACTGTCTCTTTCTTCGTCCTGGGTTGCCTGGTGTGCCCCCTTTCCTCCTGCACCGTGGAGGTGGGGATCTGCCCAACAGCCAGGAGGTGAGAGAGGGCAGGAACTCCAACACCAAGCACCATCAGAGAAAAGAGTTTCAGGCTTTCCTAGTGGGAGGAAGGAAGGGTACCTTCTCTAGAAGCCTGGGTGGGGCCACTCTGAGCTGGCTGGAAGAGTGGCCTGGCTCAGCCTGAGGTCTCACTCCCCTCTCCCCACTCCATGTCTTCCCTGTGCAGGCACTGCAGAAGCTCTCTGATGTCACCCTGGTACCTGTGTCCTGCTCAGAACTGGAGAAGGCTGGCGCCGGGCTCAGCTCCCTCTGCTTGGTGCTCAGCACACGCCCCCACAGCTGAGGGCCTGGCCTTGGGGTACTGCTGGCCAGGGGTAGGATAGTATAGGAAGTAGAAGGGGAAGGAGGGTTAGATAGAGAATGCTGAATAGGCAGTAGTTGGGAGAGAGCCTCAATATTGGGGGAGGGGAGAGTGTAGGGAAAAGGATCCACTGGGTGAATCCTCCCTCTCAGAACCAATAAAATAGAATTGACCTTTTAGACTGGGCTGTGACTGGTGTCTTACTGGGGCAAAGGGATAGGGCAGGCTGAAACCTGAGTTTGGGGTCAGTGCAGGGAAGAAGGCCTCTTATTCAAAAATCTTGTTAGGTACTTATCAACTCATTGCCCAACCATGTCATAGGTACTTGAGCACAAGATGAACAAGACAGAATTTCTATCATGGGAAGTGTGTCCAGGGCAGAGAAAAGAGTGTATGGGTGGATTGCTCACTGAATTTATCTAAATGTTAGATGATTCAGAGACTGGTAGATTACCAGTCCACCCCTATTTGATAAAGAAAAAGAAATGACACTTCCAGGGACATTCATTTTCATTCATTCATTTAATGAGGCTTAGCAATGATATCAAAAGGGTCAGTCTCCTGACGTTGGGGAGCTCACAGTACATGCAAATTTCTTACAAATTGAAATACAGGTTGTCATGGAACAATTTACAGAAGGCTGTTTCTATGAGGGAAATAAAGGGGGTGTGCCCTAGGGCATCAAAGTATATGCAAGGGGTGGCCAAGGAGGGTCACCTTCCCAGAAAAGGCCATACTTGAACTAAGGATAAATAAGAATTAGCCAGGCAGATAGTGTGAAGGAGGGAAAGGGGTAATACAGGAAGAAGGAATTGCACTGGGCAAAGACATTTTGGGGCTAGGGAGAATTCTCTAAGGCTGGCATTTTCTAAGATGTGCATGTGGAATGACACAGGTAAGCCTGGAGAGTGGACAAAGTGCTGTAGTACCTTGTATCCAAAGCCAAGGCACGTGGGCACAGAGCTGAAGCTAAGGAGAGTACTTCAGTTCTGTAATAAGGGCTGTCAGGAGCAGTTATCTCTTGAGTAGGATCTCTCTGACTTCAGGGAGGAAAGCAAGGGTAGGAGGATGAGGTGGGGCTATGGGTAATCCAGGAAGGAAGTGAGCAGAGTACATTCACGTGGCAGCGCTGGGCATGGAATACAGTGTGGGTTTGACAGTGATGTTAAGATAGAAAGACTGGACTTCATGGCTCATTGTGTGGGAGTAAGAGAGAAAGGAGGTCTGCGTGACTCCCAGTTTCTGGGTTGGGCAACTGGGTTGTTAAAGAGAATACAGAGGAGAATTAAGTGAGCAGCTTCAGAGATGACAATGAGTTGGGTTTGACATTCAGAGTGCGAAATGCCTGAGGTCAGTCAGGCAGAATGTCTAAGTGGAAGTTTGTTAATCCCAAATCTGAGATCTGAGCCAGAGAGAGTTCTGAGTGTCATTTGCAGAGGAGGGGGCTGAGGACTGACTGTTGATGAGAGTGTCCCAGAAGAAGAGAAAGGGACAAACCTAGAATGGTGGGAAATACTGTAGGGATATGGAGCAAGGAAGAGGAGTCCAAAAAGAAAACACCAGCAACAAAGAAAAACAGCTTAAAGAATCAGGCCGGGCGCGGTGGCTCACACCTGTAATCCTAGCACTTTGGGAGGCCGGGGCGGGTGGATCACGAGGTTAGCAGATCAAGACCATCCTGGCTAACACAGTGAAACCCCGTCTCTACTAAAAATACAAAAAATTAGCTGGGCGTGGTGGCGGGCGCCTGTAGTCCCAGCTACTCAGGAGCCTGAGGCAGGAGAATGGTGTGAACCCGGCAGGCGGAGCTTGCAGTGAGGGAGATGGTGTCACTGCACTCCAGCCTGGGCAACAGAGCGAGACTCCGTCTCAAAAAAAAAAAAAAAAGGAGCTAGGGCTTGATTGGGTATAGAGAGGACACTGGTGGTGAGGGAGACATGGAGGTTATAGGAGAGATGGGAGTAAGTTTAGAAGTAAGACCAGTGGCAGAGACAGCCTGGAACCCAGGTCTCCCAACTCCCAGTCTAGCACTTATTTCTATACCATGGTGCCTTCCTCTTCCAGGTGAGGAACCAAGGAGGGGAGAGGGATTATGGGGAGCTGGGATCCCCTAGCTTGGGAGGTTTGGAGTAAGGGCTTCCCTTCAAACTACAACTGCATAGATGGTGGAGGCATCAGCAGGGTCCGCTGTGGACAGCCGGCGGGGCCTGCTGAGGGCTAGATGGTCCAGATCCGCATAGAGCAGGCTCTGGAGGAGGAAGGGGAGGAAGACAAGATGGTCTCCACAGTCTTCCTTGGGGTTCAGGCCTTTTTTTTTTTGGTCCATTTTCCTCAGAGATTCTGGCTATCCCCTTCCCATCCCCATGCCCTTACCGGTTCCTGGTCCAGGTCCCCTGGAATCTTGGGCTCTTCCTCCTTTACTGGCCTCTGGGGCTCGGTTTTCACAAGTGGAGCTATGTGGGGGGGACAGAGCTGAAGGATGGAGAGAAGGTGACCAACGTGTCTGCTCCCAGCAAGGGCTCAGACTCAGGAATTGAGGGGTGGGGAGTGGGCATGTAGGAGAAAGAAAATGGGGTGGAATTAGTCTCACCAAATCTAGGGAGTGGTCGAATCGGTTGCGGGGGCAGGCGCCTGTAAGGGACATATGAGTCTTTGAGAACCACCAGTCTTGTCTCACTGGTTCTCCTGGGACTCGCCACGCCAAGGACAGCCCAGCAACTTGAAGGCTCAGACCGGAAACAACTTAGACTCTACCCCACCGACAGTCCAGCCCAGGCTCTAACTCTGCTGCACTTCCAGCTCATCTGCTCTGGTGGGGCTCTACTCACCAGTCAGCGGCCTCGCTCCCACCTTTGACCTCTCCCATTCTTCGCCAAGCCAGGACCAGAGCTCTAGGTCTAGCTCTTTCTTTTGCGAAGGTTCTGGTCCTGCCCCTTCCACCTCTGGTCACTCCCCATTTAACGAGGCCGGGTCCCTCCTGCTCACCTGTGCAGCCACCAGACCAGGCCCAAAGCTCCCAGTCCGAGCACCAACCCAGCGCCCAGCAGCGGGATCAGGAGCTGGGGATACACGGACCCTGGGGGAAAGGCGTGGCGGGGAGGGATGCTGAGGTCAGGGGTTTGACGAGGGACAGCCAGCAGTCCCGCTCAAGAACCCCCAGCCAAGGCCCTCTTCCCTCCTCCGGGTATGTGTCGGAGTTAAGTACCCTTGTGCGCACAGGCCTGCACCTACCATGGGTAGGCCCGGGGGCCTTGCAATAGGTCCTGTCCCCCAGCACGTGAAGCACTGTACGGCTCTCGTCCTCGTGGCGGCCCTTGCAGAAAAAAGTGCCCGAGTCCCCCGCGCTCAAGAGGAGCTCCAGCCGCCGGATACCAGAGTCCAGGGAGCGTAGGCGGCCGACGAAAGGCTGGAGGGGAGGCACGGTGGGGGTCCCGCTCGAAGAGGCCCACAGGATCGGTCGGCGTCCTTTGGACAGGCCCTTGCAGGCCGGGAAGCTGGGTGCCCAGACCCAGCGGATGGGATGAGAGACTCCTCCGCAGGAGAGATTCACCCGGTCCCCAGGGCGGCCGTCCAGAGAAGCTAGGAGAGGCCGGAGGCTGTGGTTAGGGCACGTCCACAGGGCAAGACGACCCTCCATCCCGTCTCCTCTTTCTCTTCTCTGTTCTGCACTCCAGCCATCCTGGATCTTCCCACACACAACCCACCCTACTAGGCGGCCCTTATCTTGCTTCAGCCCCTCTGCGTCTATCACAACTCTCCCAGGGATCGCTTACCCCCAGGGTTCCCTTGGGCCCTCGAGAGCAGCAGCGGTAGCAGCTGCAGAAACACAGCCATGGTTAGGATGTGGTGAGGAGAAGCTGCGAGCGAATCAGCGGCGTGGGGCCGGTTGGGGGGGGACCGGAGGGAAGTTAGGCGTGGGGAGAACGGAGGGGCTGGGGGGCTCCGATAAGAGAGGGGGCGGGGCCACCAGCTGCCCAGATCCCTTTGGGAATCCTCGCAGGCAAACTCGGAGTCTTCAAATGGTTCTCACTTAAAATGTGTGCTCGGGCCATTTACACAAATGCTTTGGCCTGCTTAACTTTTCAGGTGCGCCTGTAATCCCAGCTACTTAGGAGGCTGAGGAGGGAGGATCGCTTGAGCTCAGGAGGTCGAGGTTGCAGTGAACTGTGATCAGGCCATTGCACTCCAGCCTGGGCGACAGAGCCAGCCAGACCCTGTCTCAAAAACAACAACAACAAAAACTCCTGTTTTGTAGGGGATTGTGATAACGAAATAAAGTAATACATGTAAACTGCTTAGAATACATAGGATCACTATGTAAGTGCTTGCCATTATTATTACTATTTCTATTCTTTTTTTTTTTTTTTTTTTTGAGTCAGAGTCTTGCTCTGTGGCCAGGCTGGAGTGCAATCTCGACTCACTGCAGCCTCCGGCTCCTGGATTCAAGTGAGTCTCCTGTCTCAGCCTCCTGAGTAGCTGGAACTACAGGTGCATGCCACCACACCTGACTAATTTTTGTATTTTCAGTAGAGATGGGGTTTCACCATGTTGGCCAGGATGGTCTCGATCTCTTGACCTTGTGATCCACCCACCTCGGCCTCCCAAAGTGCTGAGATTACAGGTGTGAGCCACCACACCCGGCCTACTATTTCTATTCTTATTTTAGCTTCTACCTCACCTCTCTGTGCCCATGCTGTTCCTCCTGGCTTGGTACCCTGCCCAAGTTGGCAGGTTTTGACTGGGGAGGTGCTTTGGAGCAGGTGCACACAGCCACACCTAGGACAATTGCTGCTGCTGGACTGGAGCAACAAGGCCACACCAAGCGCAAGTGGAGCACGGGTGACATCCTGAGAACCTTCATGGGAGCCTGAGGCAGCCCTACTTAGCAGACCTGTGGTGGCTCTCCTGGATGAGTAGCCCCAGCCCCTGCCTCTGCTGCTGTGGCATCACAGAAGCCATCAGTGAGTCACTTATTGCTGAGCAGGCATTGGAAAGACCGAGTGGGGGCTGAATGGAGATTAATTTGACCCATTCCTCCCCCAATTTCCACCAGCATGCCCCTATCAATGCCCAGCAGGGACCCAGGGACCCAAATTCAGCAATTAATTTGGGCCACATCCTTTTGTCCATTTTCCAGGAACCAGCAGAAGCTGCCACCATGGACACTGTAAATCACAGAGGCCTTTGATGATGCTCATTCAGAGGACTGAGCAGCAGGACTCTTAGCTGGGGACCAGGAAGGGCATCTTGGCCTGAAACCAAGAACCACAATGGCATTGGCCACTAGTGGCACCTGCCTTCCCCCATCCCTCTCTCCCATCCCTACTCCCCACTCAGTCCTGCTCAGTGCCTTCCCACCCCTTGTCTTTTCTCTGGTCAGCTGCGTAGTAAGTGAGAAGGGAGGGGCTACCAGAGGCAGGGAAGGGAGGAGCCTTTGGGTTTATAAATTCCAAAAAGGCCACTCAACTCCTAGAGCTGGATCCTTGAAAATCTACTCTATCAGCTGCTGTGGTTGCCACCATTCTCAGGACCCTCGCCATGAAAGCCCTTATGCTGCTCACCCTGTCTGTTCTGCTCTGCTGGGTCTCAGGTGAGCACCTGGGGGCCCCAAAGACCTGGTTTGCCTGGTCAGGACCTTTACACCCTGCTCTACCCACTTCCCGGCCCTACCCACCACTCGGGATCCCAACACCCCCAGCCCCAACTGGCTCAGCTCTCCTGTGCCACCAAGACCAGGCTTCCCTATGACAGCCTCCTTGCTCTATTTCTCAAAAAGCCAGGTCTCCATCCATCCTCCCCACCTCCAAGAAAGACCCATTTCTCTCACCTGCCAGGGCTCTGGGTCCCCTGTTCCCCACTCCAAGGTGTCTCCTCCTTGGAAACTCTGGTATCCAGTTCCCCAACCAGCCCCACTTCAATATGCAACTCTCCAGAGTCTAGCTTACCTGCCTTCTCCTCTATCTGCTGTGCTCAGTAAGGTGTCCTCTCGAAGACCTAGGCATCCAGCCCCAGGCTCCTTTTGTAACCTACCCTCCCCATCTACTCCATCAGGGACTCACATGTTCAGTCTCTCAGCCATGGCCTTTCCTAGATACCCCCTACTCCCCTCCTGGGTTGCATACCTCCTCCCATACAGGGGATACAAACTTTCTAGATGGTTGCAGTGACATCTAAGAGCCTCCATGGAAACAGAGCGTTTTCTTGAGCCTTCTGAAGAGGGGACAACTGGGCCACTTACCTCCAGGGTGAAGTGGATTTCACTGAGGTACACTTACCAGGCTCTTCCACCCTCGGACCCTGCGTCACCAAATCTTGCCTGCCCAAACCTTGAATTAACTGAAGCAGGAAACTTGGGGTGCCACCTTCTGTATCCACCCTCTCCATTTTGATAAGGTGCTAAGATGGAATCTGGTGATCTGTCTCTCAGGTATCATTCCTTTCTGCTGAAGAGCTACTGGGGTGAGAGGATTCTATTCAGGTCTGGTTCCTCTTGCCACACTCTTGCCAGCTCCAGGAGGTGAAGAGTAAATTGTAAATTGCTAAAGCTGGCCACAGATGGCTTTCTCGCCAGCCTCAAGTTCCAAGGCATTTCTGACAGTGTTGTAACCCTCATGATTTTCATTTTTATTATTTCTCCTTCTTTCAAGTTTCCATCTCCTCCTTCACCATCCACATTCTTTCCCCATGGTATCTTCCTCACATTCCATCTATCTCCAGCCCCATGTTTTTCTTCATAGTTCTGTCCCTCTTGACTCACCTCCAAACGGGGTGGAGTGATGGAAGATATGTAGGGCGTGGGCCTTTCACAAAGCAACAGCTCTACCCTTACCTGCCGCCCACTTTCCATTTTCCCTGCATCACTCACCTGCTCTGTGCTTGCTAGACCAAACAGCCAAACAGGTTGGAGCACCTACGGGATGGGCTCTTCTCCACCCTCCACCCCTGCCCCCAGCTCAGCTTATCCCCAGGTAAGTCAGAGACCCCATCACCTCAGCCTGACTTGTGTCTTCCCAGCTGACATTCGCTGTCACTCCTGCTACAAGGTCCCTGTGCTGGGCTGTGTGGACCGGCAGTCCTGCCGCCTGGAGCCAGGACAGCAATGCCTGACAACACATGCATACCTTGGTAACATCCCCTTCCTTAGTGGGGTGAACAGGGAGGTGGGAGCCTCTATGACCAGGACTGAGGCCCAAATGGGTCTAAGACTGAGATGGAGAAGCAGAGGATTATAGCAATGATAATATTTGGCCAAAGATGGTTGTGTGCCAGGCAACATCCTATGTCTTTGCATGCCTTTTTTTCAATTAATGTTCATGACAACCCTGTGATGTGGGTGCTATTATTATACTGAGAAAACGGCCTCAAAAAGAGACAGTAACACAGCCGGGCATGGTGGCTCATGCCTGTAATCCCAGCACTTTGGGAGGCCAAGGTGGTTGGATCACTTGAGGTCAGGAGTTCAAGACCAGCCTGGCCAACATGGTGAAACCCCATTTCTACTAAATATACAAAAATTAGCCAGGCATGGTAGTGGGCGCCTGTAATCCCAGCTACTCGGGAGGCTGAGGCAGGAGAATCGCTTGAACCTGGGAGGCGGAGGTTGCAGTGAGCTGAGATGGCACCACTGCACTCCAGCCTGGGCGAGAGTGAGACTCTGTCTTGGAAAAAACAAAAAAACAAAAAACAGAGACAGTAACAGGTCCATGGCCAGCAAGTGATAGAACCAGGACTGGGGGAGTGGTGGGTAAGGATGTGCAGAAGGAAGATCAGACTAAGAAAAGAGAAGGGGAGGGCCAGGGACAGAGTTGGGAAGGAAGGAAGCCTAGGTGGGTGGATGGGGTGGGGAGGTGGACACAGGCATGCCAGGTGCCCATCCTGGCCGATTCCCTGCCCATTCCCACCCCTAGGTAAGATGTGGGTTTTCTCCAATCTGCGCTGTGGCACACCAGAAGAGCCCTGTCAGGAGGCCTTCAACCAAACCAACCGCAAGCTGGGTCTGACATATAACACCACCTGCTGCAACAAGGACAACTGCAACAGCGCAGGACCCCGGCCCACTCCAGCCCTGGGCCTTGTCTTCCTTACCTCCTTGGCTGGCCTTGGCCTCTGGCTGCTGCACTGAGACTCATTCCATTGGCTGCCCCTCCTCCCACCTGCCTTGGCCTGAGCCTCTCTCCCTGTGTCTCTGTATCCCCTGGCTTTACAGAATCGTCTCTCCCTAGCTCCCATTTCTTTAATTAAACACTGTTCCGAGTGGTCTCCTCATCCATCCTTCCCACCTCACACCCTTCACTCTCCTTTTTCTGGGTCCCTTCCCACTTCCTTCCAGGACCTCCATTGGCTCCTAGAAGGGCTCCCCACTTTGCTTCCTATACTCTGCTGTCCCCTACTTGAGGAGGGATTGGGATCTGGGCCTGAAATGGGGCTTCTGTGTTGTCCCCAGTGAAGGCTCCCACAAGGACCTGATGACCTCACTGTACAGAGCTGACTCCCCAAACCCAGGCTCCCATATGTACCCCATCCCCCATACTCACCTCTTTCCATTTTGAGTAATAAATGTCTGAGTCTGATAAAATGTACATTTATTATAAGAAGACCTAAGGGTCAGGTCACCTCCCAGGAAATAATACTCTCAATCTCCCTCCCTTACACAGGAATCCTTCAGGGAGGTTCCCTGGGAGGCTGGGCTGGGGAAAATGGAGAAACAGGTTTTTCAGGTCTTCATCCTCCCTTCCAGTGTCTCCAGGTGGCACACAACAACTCATATCCTAAATTTAGGCCACACCCCTGATGTATTGCCAAGAAGAAGGTGCGGCCTGGCTTGAGGGCTCTCCAGAAAGGATAGGAGAGGTACATGGAGATGGGGCCTGAGACCCTGTTTCTTCAGTTTCTCTCAGGTTAGAGTCAAAGGCCTCACCTAGCCTAGTTAGTAAGTAGGGCATCAAGCAGTTTTTACCTATCACAGTTTTTACATTTCTTTTCTCAATTCAAAATAGTCCTATTGGGAGCCAACTTGCAAATGGGAAATAGGGGAGCAAACCCAGACTCAGGCTCACAAAACCCTGGCAACCCCACTCAATGAATCTCATTGCTAAGGAAGATTCAACCCAGCAACAGGATCCAGGAGCCACAGAAGGCAGATAAGCCATTGCCCTTTGGGGTTTAGTTGGTTAAGGAGTGCACCACTGTAATTAAGCCCGCTGTTGCTTGGTAACCCCCAAACTAGAACCTGGATGCCCCATATTACGCTTTTAGCCCTCCCATCAACCAAAGATAGATGTAATTTTCCAGTCAGCTGTAGAGTGGTTCATAGATTTTAATGACTCACAGAAGGATGTTTCTCTTCTCACATTAGATGTTCAGATGTCCCTTGTTCCCTTGCTCCCTTGTTCCCTTCTCTACTCCTACTCCCCCTATCCGCTCCACAGTCCTGGCAAGAGACAGGTCAGGGCGGTAGCTGCTGCAGCCAAAATGCCTGCAGGGGCCACATGGCTTGCCACGGCGCTGTTGCACAGGTCTCCCAGGTAGCAGTCCCTGTGGGCTGGATAAGTCACGTCTCCCACCGACTCTGTCTCCACTTGATTGCAATGATGGGCTGCGACGCAGGCTGGATGTTGGTGAATCAAGGTCACTGGGGCTGAGAGAGAGAATGAAACTGGGGTGTTGGACTCCTGGCTTCAGGACTTGCCTTCTGGGGCAGAGCAGATGTGATTTCAAGGAGCCCAAAGGGATTTTCAGCCCCCTCAAAAAACACCTCCCTGAAACCAAGTGATCAAAGTTAATGCATTGACCTTGTAAACTCCTGATGTGATGCAGCAAGAAGGATGCAACATCACTTCTGCAGTATTCTTGCTTAAAATGCATGACCTCAATCTCATCATGGCAAATATCAGATAAATAAATATCGAGGGACATTCTATAAAATAATTTTTAGTATTTCAAGTATCTGTAATTTTTTTTTTTTTTTTGAGACGGAGTTTCACTCTTATTGCCCAGCTGGAGTGCAATGGTGTGATCTCGGCTCACCGCGACCTCCACCTCTTGGGTTCAAGCAATTCTCCTGCCTCAGGTTCCCGAGTAGCTGGTATTACAGGCGGGCACCACTACACCCGGCTAATTTTGTATTTTTAGTAGAGACGAGATTTCTCCACATTGATCAGGCTGGTCTTGAACTCCCGACCTCAGGTTATCCACCCGCCTTGGCCTCCCAAAGTGCTGGGATTACAGGCGTGAGCCACTGCATCCGGCACGTAATTTTTGTTTAATCTAAAAATGATTTTATTTAATTTTAGAGAAAAGATCTTGCTCTCTCACTCAGGCTGGAGTGTGGTGGTGCAATCATACCTCCCTATAGCCTCAAACTCCTGGGCTCAAGTAATCCTCCTGCCTCAGCCTCTCAGGAAACTGAGATTACAGGTGTGTGCCACTATGCCTGGCTAATTTTTTAAAAACATTTTTTGTAGAGATGGGGGTCTCACTTTGCTGCCCAGGCTGGTGTCAAACTCCTGACCTCAGGTGACTCTTCAGCCTTGGCCTCCCAAAGTGCTGGGATTACAAGTGTGTGCCACCAAGCCTAGCCTAAAAATTATTATTATTATTATTTTTGAGACAGGTTCTCATTTTGTTCCCCAGGCTGGAGTGTAGTGGCGTGATCATGGCTCATTGTAGCTTCAATCTCCCAGGCTCAAGCGATCCTCCCTCTTCAGCCCCCTGAGTAGCTAGGACTACAAGCATGTGCCACCACACCCAACTAATTTTTTAATCTGTTTGTTTGTTTGTTTGTTTGTTTTTTGTAGAGACAGGGTCTCCCTATGTTGCCCAGGCTGGTCTCAACTCTTGGGCTCAAGTGGTCCTCCCACCTTGGCCTCCTAAAGTGCTGGGATTACAGGTGCGAGTGACTGCACTGGCCCTAAAAGTAATTTTTTAAACTCCAGGTATAAAATAATTTATCAGGGCTCTTCAAATGTGTCAGGGTCATGAAAGACAAAGAAAAACAGAACTGGCACAGATCAGAGGAGACTAAGAAGACATGAGAGCTAAATGCAATGTAGGATCTTGCTAAATCAAATAAAGTCTGTAGATTAGTTAGTAGTATTGTATCAGTTATTTTGTGATTTTGATAATTGTGCTATGGTTATGTAAGATGTTAGCATTAGGAGAAGTTGAGTATTTCTGCAACTTTTCTGTCAATCCAAAATTATGTTAAAATAAAATATTAAAAACATGTACACACACACACACACACACACACACACACACACACACACCCCTCCCTGGTCCTTAACTAATGCCGAAAATTTGAAGTTTGGTTTTAACTTTGGCCTTTCAGGGCCAGAGCTCTTCATTTGTGAGCTAATGGGCCTATGAGATTCTTTTAGGAGAATAAGGAGGTGGGGAAGTGGGGGCACAAGGACTGTGGGCCTCTCAGGGGCTCCGTGCCAGGAGCCAGAAGGGGTACAGACTGCTCTCCTCTAACAGCTGCACCATCTGCCCAGAGCCAGACTGAGCCTGGAGGGTTCTGGAAGCCAGAAGGATTGACATGGGGCTGGAGGCAGGGAAAGGCTGCTGGAAGAGGGAGAAACTGAGGACTCACGGTTTCCAGGTAGCTTGATCTGTTCCAGGCCTGGCTGGGGTCTGCCCTCGCCACAGGTGGTCACGGCCTCTTTGCAAGAACTGCTGGGGCTTCCACCACAGTTGTAGCACCGCATTCGGTTTCCTGGCAGGAGAAAAGAGGCGCTGGACCTGGGCCCTCGGTGGAGCCGGCTGGCAGAAGGCCTGTGTGAGAAGCTAGCTGGCCGCCTCCTTACCCAAGGCAGCCCCTAGCAGGGAGCTGAGCAAGATCCCAACAAACTGGGGTTTCATCGCAGTCTGCCCGTGTCAGGACCGCCTCTACCTCCTGCCCACCCCCCTCCCCAGCCCGGCTCTGCCTGCCTTATATCCCCCGTGCCTTGAGCTTTATAGGGCTATAAAAAAGGAAGAAAGAGTCTCCCCCAGCAGGCACCAAGGGCCCCAGTGGGGACAGGGAGGGGCCCCACAGCATGCTCTCAGCATCCTCTGGAGTCCTCAAACTCCTTTATCCTCAGCAGCAGTCTGTGGACCAACAAGAACCCCTGAGGATCCCTGATACCCTTTCACAGGGTCCTTGAGGGTCCTCCTTTTGCAACTATCTGTGTAAGGTCAGATTTTCTTCATATACTGGACTTCAACGAAAACAACATATCCCAACAGACTGAATGCAGAAGCAGATAGGAAAACCCAGGCATCTCCCACGAAGCCTGACACTAGATTCACAAAAATGTAAAGCAATGCTCAGCTTCTCACTGTGCTGTGGAGAAATAATAGTTATTTTTCACAAAACTGTATTTTGTTAGCATGTAATACTTTATTATTTTTATTGTTTAAATAAATCAATAAATACCTACTTTAAATTTTCTGTTTTAATTTTTAATGTAGTAAATATTGATATAACCTCATAAAGAAAAGCTCTTCAGAGTCTTAAGTAACTTTGAAAAGTGTAAAGAGGTCCTGAGATCAATATTTTTGAAAAGAGCTGCTCTCCTGGGCACCTGTGTCTCCCCTATCTTCACTCCCTGTTCCTAGTCTTACTCCTCCTGGTACATGCTGGCTCTGATTCCCCAGATGGGCCTTCCTCCTTCCCAGTCTCTTCAACCCCAGCCTTCCAGGCTGTATCACCACCCCCCTACCCCAAATCCCATCCATGCCTTCCTTTCTAGTGATTTCTCCCCAGTGCAAGCACATCAGCAGGCCCTCCAGCCCCACCCGTGGTTATTTCTTTCCTCCAAGGTAGTAAAGCTGGCAGGGATAATTACAGGGTAGGAATGTTGAAGCTTGGGGGGATCAAAGGGATCTGAAGCTGGGTGGGGTCCGCCCTTACACAGCTGGGCTTTGTGTGTGCATGTGGGTGTGTGGGTGGGGGTATTGTTGATTCTACACTCAAACAGATCCACGCCGGGGCTGTTTAGGAGGGTGACTTTGAGAGACATGAAAGCACTGAGGGGGAAAGACAGAGAAAACAAAGACAGAGAGAAGCTGAGAGAGCCAGGGAGCAGCTTGAGACATGGGGAGGGAGGGGGAGGAGTAGGAGGGAAGGCGACAGACACAACTCAGGAGCAGGAGAGGAAGCTAAGTTACAGAGACAACATGCTGAGAGAGCAGAGGAGACCCTCCAGGCAAGGGCAGACTCCTTGCAGGGGCAGGCTGGGGGCCCCCGCTGCCTGCTGGGTCAGGCTGGTGAATCTGGTCATGGTTCCGCCCCCCAGATTCACTCCCTAGGTGTGTTTGTTTACTGGTTCCTCACTGTCTTGCTCAAATGCTCCAACTCTACAAATCCCGGGATCTCGGGGTGCAGATCACCTCTCCCAGATTCCTGAGCCTGTGTCTGGCCATGGGCACCTCCAGCATCTTCCTCTGCGTGCTGTTCCTCTGTGGGGCACTGGGTAAGGGTGGGCTGGGGAACCTTCAGTGGTCAGGGGGCTGGGGGTGGGGACAAGGGCATGTGGAGGAACCTGAGGGCTGGGGAGGAGAGGGGTGTGGGTGCTGGAAGAGGCCAAGAAGAGAGCTGGGGGAGTGGGGGACTTCAGGGAGACCAGCCACTGGGAAGGCCAGCCTGATGAGGTGGGAAAGGAAGAGTTTCCTTTCAAGGCATTTGAGAATAACTGTCTCCCCCTTGCTGCATCTTTGATCCGCCCCTGTCTCCCCTATCCCTTATTTCACGTGTTGCTTCTGTGCTGGGCCCTTTGGTCAATGTCAATTTCTATTTTCCTATCTGTCTCTGGTGCCATTTACTTAACTTTTTCACTGACCCCCTCAACTTCCCTGCTGCTGGGTCTGGCTTTTTGTCTCACTCTTTTTATGTTGGTCTCTGATTCTTGTGGCTTCTGTTCATGTCTGCGCATCTCTCAATCCCTGTACCCCTCTTGCCTCCATCTCTGTTTCTTTTCCTGCATCGTCTCCCTCTTTTTTTTTGAGACAGAGTCTCGTTCTGTCACCCAGGCTGGAGTGCAGTGGCATGATCTCGGCTCACTGCAACCTCAGCCACCCAGATTCAAGAGATTCTCCTGCCTCAGCCTCCCAAGTAGCTGGGACTAGAGGCATGTGCCACCATGCCCGGCTAATTTTTTGTATTTTTAGTAGAGACGGGGTTTCACTGTGTTAGCCAGGATGGTCTCAATCTTCTGACCTCATGATCAGCCCGCCTCGGCCTCCCAACGTGCTGGGATTACAGGCGTGAGCCACTGCGCCCAGCTATTTTTTCTACTTCTGTCAGCTTTCCTCCCTTATTCCACAGCTTTCCTCTCTCTGCTTCATGTGTCACCTCTCTCTGTGATCCCTCTCCGGATCTGGCCTCTGCCTGCCCCACAGGGAGGGTTTGCCTCTCCTGCTCTCCTAATCTCTGCTGCCTCAACAGGTCTCACCATGTCCCCTGCCCGGGGAAGGCTCCGCTGCTACATCTGTGGCTTCACCAAACCCTGCCACCCTGTTCCCACCGAGTGTCGGGACGATGAAGCTTGTGGCATCAGTATTGGCACTTCAGGTAGGACTCTGGTCCAATGGCCCTTCTCCAGGAGGCTCCCTACCTCCATCCATCCGGCCTTTCCTGTGGCCCCCGCCTCAGCATGCCTCTTTCATCCCACAGACCAGAGTGAGATCACTGAGTGAAAAAGCTGCCTCTCAAGGGCCCAGTGCCCTCTGCCAGGCTATGCCACCTACTGGCTGCACTCCTACACTCTGTGGCACCACTGCTGCGAGCAGGACCTGTGCAACATAGCCGCTTCCCCACAGCAGCTCACCAGCCTCCTCGCCTCCCTGCCCCTCTTTGTGGCCAGCTTCGCTGGGAGAGGACACCTCCTCCACTAGCTTCCGTGGATCTGCAGCCCCCAACCCAGGATACCCCCCGCCATCACTGCGGCCCTGGAAACACCTGCACAGACACTTTGAGACATGCCCGAGAACCTAATTTTGTACAGAGACCCCAGATCTCTCAGCAGACCCCTCACAGACCCCTCACAAGGCCTGGGGAGGCACCTGCCCAGAGTCCAACCTCATAAAGAACACCTATTCTGCGTCTTTTGTCTTTTCTAGATGCCCATTGCTGATGCCCCGTGTCAGCCCAGGTCACTGGCAAGGCAGGCATTTTGATGACACTGTGGATCTCAGGCAAGGGGATCAAAGGAGCATCAGGTATGGTAAGGAGGAGAGTCTTGCTAGGAAAGACTAATGTGGTAGGTCGGGAACTCAGGATGGAGGGCTTGGGGGACTATGAAGAGTACCTTTAATAAAAGGTCTATCTAGGAGTCCAGTAATACTGCAGATACTGCAGTGTGTGTGTGTGTGTGTGTGTGTGTGTGTGTGTGTCTGTGTGTGTGTGCTCTAAGAGCAAACTGTAGCTGCTTGGTGGGTTGGGCTGGAGCTGGAACCTGGACCACGGCACTCCCCTCATTCTCCATCTGTGTCATTTTCGTCCTTTTTCTTGCCAATGGCTTAGTTTAAGCCCCTGCAGCCTGAAGCCTTTAGGTGAGACTTCTGAGAAAGCTTTTTTCCAGTAAGGCCCAAGCTTGAGCAGAGACACAAAAGGGCACCCAGTGGAGCTGCTTGTGAGGGTGTGGCTGGAGCTCAGCTCATTTCTGCCTGAGACTAGGGAATGGCCAAGTTGGGAGCATCAATATCCTCCCTCGCTTCACCAGCCCAGACTCGCCCATGGTTCACAGACATCCCAGCATGGCCCCGGCCCAATAAATAACATACCCCCACTGGGCCTGCCAGCCTGAGTAGACACTCCCTCTGCCCCCGAGAAATAGGGTGTGACCTCAGGGCAGCAGGAAGGAAGTGCCAGAGTGGCGATAGCTGCTCACATGCTCTGAATGCCCCGGTAAGGCGCCACAGGGAAGAGTGTGTGCCTAGGATAAGGAAGGATAAGGAGGGGGCCCCGGGTGGGAGCTGAGCACAGGCATCTCTATCCTGACTCAGTTCCCTCCCCTTGCATGTGAGGAAGTCTGGGGTTGATTAAATATGCCTGTTCCCTCTCTTCTTTGTGAGGATGAGACATGGGGTAGTGGGGGTCTGGCTTAATTTAGAGATGGGTTGAGGCTTTCCATTTTCTCTGTCCCTCCATCCTCCCACTTTGTGCTTCTATTTTTCTCCCTCTGTCCATCTCTTTCCACTTTCTCTGACTTGAGTCTCTTCCCTTCTCTCTCTTCCCCCGTTTTCCCCATTTGTCCTTCAGCTCCACTGCAATGGATTCCTCACCATTGCTCAAGTCTCCAGATTCCTGTCTCCTCCCTGTGCACACCCATCCTCCTTGCCCCCACCAGCAACCTCAGGCTCCCCTCAACCCCACAGTACTATGGGCTCAGGGCCATCCCTCCACTGCTGCTACAAGACAGGAGACCAAACCTTTTTGTAGGTTACATCACAGAATAATGCTCCTCCTTTCCTTCAGTCCCCCACCCCTCCCCATACACAGCTTGGTGGCTGCTGGAGGCCAGCTGGATGGTGAAGTCGAACTCTCAGTCCCGCCCCCCTTGCTAAGGTTGTCGAGGAATCTTCCAGGTGCCAGATGGCCAGCGAGACAGCAGGTCACACTTCCCAGCAGATGTCACCAAAATCACCTGGGCTTGTGGGCAGGTGGGCTGTGGGGTTTTCCAGAGAGACAGATTAAGGATACCTCTACTTTTCACATCCTCAGGAACGAGGGCCCATCCCCAACCCAACCCGTGTTTCCTCTCCATCCCCAGTCCCCTCCAGGATTTAAGCCTCTGTTCCCTAGCTGTTCCTCACCCAAGACGGGCCAAATGGATGTTCTCATAGACCTGGATTTCGGGTTTGAACTGAGGAATCGAGGCATCTGGGGAGAAGGAGCCATCAGGGATACAGAAGAGAAGTCAGCAGACAACTTAGAGCCGTGTTCCTCGCCCCCTCCCCTAGAGGAGGTGGGGTACAGAGGCGGGGTGTGAGCCTAGCCCTTTGCCTCCCACCCATGTGCCCTCTTCTTTCCCCGGGGAGGGAGGGACTCACCTCTGCCTGGAGCCCCACGGACCCTCTGCCTCCAGAGCACGATGCTGAGGGCCAGGATGACAACTCCCTGGCCCATTGTGAGCAGCAGCATCAGAATCCAAGGCATGTCCCAGCCCGTGGAAGGGGCACAGAGGGCAGGAGAAGCATCGATGGAGGCTGTAGTAAGGGCCAGACCAGAGGGATGGGAGGGAGGTAGTGAGGGGCCCTGTCCCTGTGCCCCAAAGAGAGGCTTCCCCTCCACAGTCTGGTGGGCTCTTCCAACAGAAGACTTTGTAAGCTTCCCTGCCCACAATATCCTCCACCCTACTCTGCCCCTTTCCAGGCCTCTCACCCTGACCCATAGAGAATGGCGGCCAGGCACAGTGGCTCATGCCTGTAATTCCAGCACATTAGGAGGCCAAGGCGAGCAGACCACTTGAGGTCAGGAGTTCAAGACCAGCCTGGTCAACATGATGAAACCTCATCTCTACTGAAAGTATAAAAATTGAGGCCAGGCGCAGTGGTTCACACCTGTAATCCCAGCACTTTGGGAGGCCGAGGTGGGTGGATCACCTGAGGTCAGGAGGTCGAGACCAGCCTGACCAACATGGTGAAACCCCATCTCTACTAAAAACACAAAAAAGAGGCCGGGCGCTGTGGCTCACACCTGTAATCCCAGCACTTTGGGAGACCAAGGCGGGCAGATCACGAGGTCAGGAGATTGAGACTATCCTGGCCAACATGGTGAAACCCCGGCTCCACTAAAAATACAAAAATTAGCTGGACGTGGTGGCATATGCCTGTAATCCTAGCTACTCGAGAGGCTGAGGCAGGAGAATCACTTGAACCAGGGAGTCAGAGGTTGCAGTGAGCCGGGATTGCGCCACTGCACTCCAGCCTGGCGACAGAGAGAGACTCTGTCTCAAAAAAAAAACAAAAAAAAACACACACACACACACAAAAGTTAGCCAGGCGTGGTGGCAGGCACCTGTAGTCCAGCTACTCAGGAGGCTGAGATGGGAGAATAGCTTGAACCCAAGAGGCAGAGGTTGCAGTGAGCCAAGATCGTGCCACTGCATTCCAGCCTGGCCAACAGAACAAGTCTCCATCCCAAAAAAAAAAAAAAAAAAAAAAAAAAGGCCAGGCGTGGTGGCTCACACCTATAATCCTAACACTTTGGGAGACTGAGGCAGGCAGATCATGAGGTCAAGAGATCAAGGCCATCCTGGCCAACATGGTGAAACCCCGTCTCTACTAAAAATACAATTTTTTTTTTGAGATAGAGCTTCGCTCTTGTTGCCCAGGCTGGAGTGCAATGGCGTGATCTTGGCTCACTGCGCCCTCCACCTCCCAGGTTCAAGTGATTCTCCTGCCTCAGCCTCCCGAGTAGCTGGGGTTAGAGGCATGTGCCACCATACCCGGCTAATTTTGTATTTTTAGTAGAGACAGAATTTCTCCATGTTAGTCAGGCTGGTCTTGAACTCCCAACCTCAAGTGATCCGCCTGCTTCGGCCTCCCAAAGTGCTGGGATTACAGGATTGAGCTACCATGCCTGGCCTAATAATAATAAAATAAAATAAAATAAAATAAAAAGTAGAGAATGGCAATGCCCCCTGCTCACGCATGGGCAACCAACTACAGAGCAGACCACCAGCCATAACCACACTTTCCCCTCACACCCTTTATAGTAATTCACCCTTTCTTTCAAGAAAAAATAGCCAGATGTGATGGCTCATGCCTGTAACCCCAGCACTTTGGGAGACCAAGATAGGAGGATCATTTGAGGCCAGTAGTTTGAGACCAGACTGGGCAACATAGCAAGATCCTGTCTCTACAAAAAATTTAAAGGTGCGGTGGCTCATGCCTATAATCCCAGCACTTTGGGAGACTGAGGCAGGCAGATCACTAGAAGTCAGGAGGTTGATACCAGCCTGGCCAAAATGGTGAAATCTCGTCTCTACTAAAAGTACAAAAAATTATCCAGGCATGGTGGCGGGCGCCTGTAATTCCAGCTACTTGGGAGGCTGAAGTGAAAGAACATCCCTTTCCGTCTCCTTCCTCAGTTTACCTGCCAGGCTAAAGCTGACCCCTTTGTTGTGAGTCATGAGGCAGCGGATGATTCTTGGTCTTCGGCTCCTGGGCTCAGAAAGCCCCTCCCCAGGACACACCAAGAGCAGGGCAGCCTCACTGCCCCAGAAGGACTGAACACGGCCCCTCACGGGACCCTTCCCTTCCTGCCAGGTCACAGAGTCCATGCGTCTGCTGGGGACCACAGAGCACAGGAGGACATTGCAGGGGGATCCATCTGCAGCCCTTGCAGATAACTGGGATCCTGTAGGGGAGAGAGGGATTCCTCAGTTCTTCACCTGGACTTCCTGGGCCACAGTAGCCCCTGGTCTGCATGCCCCCACTCACCTTTGAGCACCAAGACGTCGTACACCCTCCAGTTCTGGTAGTTGTGGTGCTGACCTAGCACAGCGCACCAGTACCGCCCGGCATCTTCCTCTTTGGATCCCTCCAACCACAAAGAATAGTTCCCCAGCAGTCTGAGCCTGGATTCCCTTCCTGGTTTTCCAGGGTCTGGGGCTGGCCTGCCCACTTGGACTTGGGCTACCAGGGTGGTGAAGGAGCCTGCTGCAGGGCTGCAGAACCATGACAGGTGTTCGTCCCCATGTAGAGTAGGTGGTGAGGGACATGGCAGCTCTACTGCCTCCCCCAAGGCCACATAGATGGCCTGCATGTTGTCTGTGGGAAGAGGGTTGTATGAGGCCAGAGACCTCCATCAGATCAATAACCCCCCATTTGATCTTCAACCCTGGCTTCCTTCCCTTCTGGGGTCCCCCAGCACAGGCCTGGCTGGTGACCACATTTCTCAAGTGACAGCTACAAAAATAAGACAGGTGGAGAGAAGAGGGTAAGGGCTTTCCTCCTCTCTCCCCCAGCCAGTGAGGGGGTCTGAGGGCAAGAGGGAAAAGGCTGAAAGTTGGCAAATGCCCACATCTCTTCTACTCATTTCTACTTTTCTGGAAGCATTTACTCATTCTTCTTATTTTATAAAGGAAACTGCATAACCTGGACCCTCGTTGCCTCTGGGTCTTCCCTAGTGTCAGAGGCAGGAGGAGGTTGGTTGGGGTAATTCTATCTTCTTGAGTCAGATGCCTTCGCCAGGCTCCTAGGAGAAAGAGCAGTAGTCCCTCCCCAACCTTGCAAATAGCTAAGGAATCCCGTACCTCTTGCCCCTTACCTGCAGCCTGGGGAGTTCCACATAGGAACAGGAGGAGGAATAAGACTGCCATGGGGAGAGCCTGCCAAGTTCTCTTGCTCCAAGACCTGGTGTCCCCAGGGAGGAAGCAGAGTCCAGATAAAGGCCCACACTCGCTGGTCTGGAGTGACAAGGGGCTCTGGAGGGGATGGGAATGCTGGGGCGATAAAGCCCAGCAGCATGTCTACTAGGGATAAAGTGACCACCACTTTTCTATCCTGGAGAGAAAAGGACCCAGCCCAGGCCACTCTGAAGATGACCTTTTTGCTCTTCTGATTCCACATCAGCTAAGGGGCTCAAATAAAGACTTTCCATGCAAAAAACCATGCAGAGAAGTGGTCCTGCCTGTCTAGCTCTTGTCAGTCTGGAAGTACATTCTGAGGTCTCTTTCACTCCTAAGAAAGGTCAGCCATGAGTTGGGTGGATCACTTGAGGTCAGGAGTTCGAGACCAGCGTGGCCAACATGGCGAAACCCTGTCTCTACAAAAAATACAAAAATTAGCCAGGCGTGGTGACATGTGCCTGTAATCCCAGCTACTTAGGAAGCTGAGAGGCACCAGAATCGCTTGAACCCGGGAGGTGGAGGTTGCAGTGAGCCGAGATCGTGCTACTGCACTCCAGCCTGGGAGACAGAGCGAGACTTCATCTCAAAAAAAAAAAAAAAAAAAAAAAAAAAGAAAAAGAAAAGAAAAGAAAAGAAATGTCAGCTATGAGTGAAGAAACTGAGTTTGAGTTTTTATGTTGGTCCTCCACAGAACCCAGCACAAGACTGTGTATCGAGTCAGTGTCCCGTAAATGATTTGGAATGACTTTCCCTGTGGTTGTCTGGCATACCCCGGACCTCTCCTGAAACCCTAATAAGTGTATTAAATTATTACTCAGGGACAAGGCTAACGGGCTGATTCATCCTTCTGAACGGCAAAAACTCCTAAGGCAGATCTTCATGCAGTTATTACAGTTTTAATGTGTAATTTATTTATTTTTAAAATTATTTTGATGAAATATTCCATACATACCAAAAACTATATGAAGTACAACTATATAATGGATAAATGCTTAACAGAGTAGAAGACTGGACAGCAATGAGAATGAACAAACCTAGTGATTTGCAACAAAGTTGAATCTCACAATATAATGAGAGTAAAAGAAGCCTGGCCAGGCATGGTGGCTCATGTCTACAATCCTAACACTTTTGGAGGCCAAGGTGGGAGGGTTGATTGAAGCCAGAAGTTTGAGGTTGGGCAACAGAGCAAGACCCCAACTCTGAAAATAAAGGCCAGACGCCGTGGCTCACGCCTGTAATCCCAGCACTTTGGGAGGCTGAGGCAGGCGGATCACGAGGTCAAGAGATCGAGACTATCCTGGCCAACATGGTGAAACCCTGTCTCTACTAAAAATACAAAAATTAGCTGAGTGTGGTGGTGGATGCCTGTAGTCCCAGCTACTCAGGAGGCTGAGGCAGGAGAATCGCTTGAACTCAGGAGGCAGAGGCTGCGGTGAGCAGAGATCATGCCACTATACTCCAGCCTGGTGACAGAGCGAGACTCCGTCTCAAAAAAATAAATAAATAATAAATAAATAAATAAATAAATAAATAGAATATTCCAGGCCGGACTCGGTTGCTCATGCCTGTAATCCCACCACTTTGGGAGGATGAGACAGGCGGATCACCTGAGGTCAGGAGTTCAAGACCAGCCTGACCAACATGGAGAAACCCCATCTCTACTAAAAATAAAAAAATTAGCAGGGCATGGTGGTACATGCCTGTAATCTCAGCTACTTGGGAGGCTGAGGCAGGAGAATCGCTTGAACCCCAGAGGCAGAGGTTGTGGTGAGCCGAGATCGGGCCATTGCACTCCAGCCTGGGCAATAAGAGCGAAACTCGGTCTCGAAAAAAAAAAAAGAAAAAGAAATAGAATATTCCAGGCCAGGCACAGTGGCTCATGCCTGTAATCCCAGCACTCTGTGAGGCCAAAGCAGGAGGTTCACTTGAGCCCAGGAGTTCGAGACCAGCCTGGGCAACATGGTGAGACCTTGTAAAATTAGCCGAGTATGGTGGTGTGGGCCTATAGTCCCAGCTACTCAGGAGGTTGAGGCAGAAAGATGGTTGAGCCCAGCAGGTGGAGGATCAGGGCAGTGAGCCGTGATTGTGCCACTGTGCTCCAGCCTGGGTGAAAGAGCTAGACCCTGTCTCAAAAAAAAAAAAAAAAAAAAACAGAAAAAAAGAATATTCCGTTTCAGTCAGAGATCCTCTATGCTGTGTAACCACAATTCTGAATTTTCTCTTTCTTCTCCACTTGCTTTATCATTAAATTTTATGTGTTTTTGAATCTAATATACTAGTATCACGTATACATTCTTCTGTGGCTTTCTATTTTCACTCAGCATCATGGTTTTAAGATCCAGTTCATGCATAACAGTAATGATTCATTTATTTTCTTTTTACAAATATTCCGCATATCTTACTGTGCTGAATTTTCGTATCCAGGACCATGGTGTAGCTTTCCATTTATTGAAAAGCTTTTCGTTTACCTCTTTCTTTTTTTATTTTTTCAATTATTATTGTTATTATTTTGAGGCAGGGTCTGGCTCTGTCACCCAGGCTGGAGTGCATGGAGCGATCTCAAACTCCCGGGCTCAAGCGACCCTCCCACCTTGGCCTCCCAAGTAGCTGGGACTACAGGTGGGCACCACCACACCCTGCTAGGTCTTTTTTTTTTCCCCCTTGGTATTTTGTGTAGAGATGGGGTCTCACTATGTTGCCTGGGCTGGCTTGGAACTCCAGGGCGCAAGCAATCCTCTCTCAGCCACCCCAAGTGTTGGAATTACAGGCATGAGCCATGGCCTGGAACTCCTGGACGCAAGCAATCATCCCTCGGCCACCCAAAGTGTTGGAATTACAGGCGTGAGCCACCGCGCTGGGCCAGTTTACCTTTATTTATTTATTTAGAGACAGAGTCTTGCTCTGTCACCAAGGCTGAAGTGCAGTGGGAAGATCTCGGCTCACTGCAACCTCTGCCTCCCGCGTTCAAGCGATTCTCGCGTCTCGGCCTCCCGAGTAGCTGGGATTACAGGCGCGCACCACCCATGCCAGGCTAATTTTTGTATTTTTAGTAGAGATGGGGTTTCACCATGTTGGCCAGGCTGGTCTCGAACTCCTGGCCTCAAGTGATCCCCCCGCCTCGGCCTCCCAAAGTGCTAGGACTACAGGCGTGAGCCACTGCGCCGGGCCGGGCCAGTTTGCCTTTTCAATAACTTTTTATAGTTTTCTTCATAAAACCTTGCATTTCTTGTACTAGATACATTCCTAGACACCTTATGTTTTCGGTTACTCTTATCAAGTACTCCTAATCTCACCCCTCGTTTCCGCTGTCGCTCTAGAGTCTGCCAATAATGAGACAGAAAAAAATTATTGAACCATGCCCGGTAATTTTCTGATTCTCCGCGTTCTAGTGGTCTTCCACTAGTTTCGGACCACTGCTGTACCCGTAGCTCCAACTGCGCGAAACTCTTCTCAGGAAGCACTGAAAATGTCGCAACTCGCCCGGAGGCGGAGCCGGTACGGGCTGACGTCAAGGGCACACAACACCTCAGAGGCAGGGAGGGCGGGGCCGGCAGGGGGACCTGCTGCTGGAAGAGCAGCGGCCCGAGCCGGGGCCATGGCGAAGCTGCTGAGCTGCGTCCTAGGCCCCCGGCTCTACAAAATCTACCGGGAGAGGGACTCTGAAAGGGCCCCGGCCAGCGTCCCTGAGACGCCAACGGCAGTCACTGCCCCCCATTCCAGCTCCTGGGTGAGTCGAGTTCCTCCCCACCGAAGAACGTGGTACAGTCCAAACCCTTTACGGCCTTTTGCTCCCCAGAAGTGCCCATAATGGGAAATAAGGGGAGCCTGCTTGTCAAGCCAGTTATCCGCAAAATCTGCGCTCTGTGTGCTTCCTGAGTTAAAGTCACGCCTACGGACTGGCCGCCTCCTTTCTTTTTCGCTCTTTACCGCTTTCTCATTCCGACTGCCACTCTTTGTTCTTTCCTCTCCGCGTCCCCCCGACCCTGTGTGTCGTGGTTCGTGCCGGTCCCAGTTGAGTCTTGAGTCCCGGGAAGAGACCCTGCGCGGACTGGGGAGCCGTTGAATTTTGCTGTCAGACTCCCAGTTTCCTCTTCTTCAGTGCCTCTTCATGCCTCCCCCGGCTCTGTTTTTATCTTCCCTTTACCCTCGCCTTGAATTTCAGAATGACTTTTACAGATCCTGTATCCGTCGGTCCTCCCCTCAACCCCCGCCCAACCTAGCCTGGAGACCCGAGTCATTGTATTCTGGAGAGCTGGCGGGTGGTGGTAGGCTGTTCTAAATATTCTCTTCCTTTTTATCAGTTGTCTCATTGTGTTACTGTCTCCTACAAACTGCCCGCTCCTACCCACATTCTCTTCTTAGTCAACTACTCTTATTTCTGATGCTTTTCTTTCCTTCTTAGATTGTCTAGGTGTCTTTTCTTTCTTCTCAAACTAACCCTTCTCCCCACATGCACGCGCCTGCAATCCATTTGAAACTAGGCTGTGGAAAAGGAGCAAAAATCGTCCAATGCTGCTTTCACTTTTGCTTCCAAATCCAGCTCCCTGTGTTTGTTCCCATGGTCAGGGGTGGGAAATTAGGTTCAGAGTGAGGGTGAGGAAGAGGAGTTTCTGTGGGGGCCAGGGATGTTTCAAGAGAGATAGTCAACGAGACTAGAACCAGAGGACACACAGCAGGGCTTCTGAAAGGGAAGGGAAAGGACCTGCCAGTGGGCAGGGTCCTTAAGGAGGCCATCTGTTTTGGCAGGATACGTACTATCAGCCCCGTGCCCTGGAGAAACATGCTGACAGCATCCTGGCACTGGTATGTCTACCCTGGCATCTGGGACTCTGCATCTTTCAGACCCACCTGTCCTCTTGAACTTAGCCCTCCCTAACTTGGGAGCAACAGTGCCCTGGGGTTGGGGGATGCCCTGGGCTCTGCAGCAGACCTCTCCAACACAGACACACAGGCACACTCTAAATGTGCATACTTGGCACTCCCCTTTGGTATGTAGCACTGCTTTCTCTGGGGGCAACCTGAGCCGTAAGGAAAACATGTTTACTCTTGGGACCATCTGCAGGTGCTAAGTCCTGCAGTTCCCCAGTGACCTGTCCTCCCTGGCAACTAACCTCTTTGGCTGCAGGGACAGCTGTTCTTTCTGGCACAGTTCCTGTGGTGACGTTTGCGCATCTCTTGGGGACCAGGCCAGGGGCTGTCCTGAGCAGGGCCAATTGAAAAGGCTTGATTAACTTGAGTAGACAGAGAGACTGCCTTTAAATGTGATGGAATTATGTCTGGAGATGGAAGACATAATTCTTCCATAATTCCAGAGGAAGAAAATAGAGCCTGTACCAAATTTTCCCAGCCTCCATTACACTGACACACTACTTTTCAACAAATACTGAGCACCTACTGTATTCATGGTGTCATACACCAAATATGATATGATATCCCTCAGGTTGTCCATCTTGCTCAGAGTGTATAGTATATGCCTGGAATGGCAGGTGTGTGTGTGTGTGTGTATTGATTGCCTGTCCCTGTCTCTCTGCTGCAGGCTTCAGTATTCTGGTCCATCTCTTATTACTCCTCTCCCTTCGCCTTCTTCTACTTGTACAGGAAAGGTCAGTGTGGTTTCAAAGGTGGTGGGGTAGCAAATGGGCAGGTTGTTGGCAGATGAGCCAGCTCCCTAAAGAGGAGAGGGGACCTGTGAAGATGGCTTGGCTTCCCTCTTCCATCAGGCATCTTCTTCCTCTTAGGGTATGGCTGTTCCAAACAGGGAGTGTGGGGTGGAGGTTGGGGCTGAACTGGGAAGAGGAGCTGAGGGACATTGCGGAGAGGGTCTCACATTGTCCCTCTCCCTTCCCAGGTTACTTGAGTTTGTCCAAAGTGGTGCCGTTTTCTCACTATGCTGGGACATTGCTGCTACTTCTGGCAGGTGTGGCCTGCCTCCGAGGTAGGTGGAGAGGAAACCTGGTTTGAATCTTATCTGTCACTGTCACTGGTTAAAAATTAAGTACCTTGTGCAAATACATTTTAGTGATGGGCCTCCGAGAGGGAATCATTGAGAATGGTTTAAGGCATGATCTTTTCCTTAAAAGACTTGGGTTATAAATATGAAAAAATAACTGAAAAGTAACAAAAAGGTTTGCTTTTTTTTTTTTAAGAGATAGGGTCTCACCATGTTGTCCAGGCTGGTCTCAAACTCCTGAACTCAAAGTGATCCTCCCACCTCAGCCTCCCGAAGTACTGGGATTATAGATGTGAGCCACTATGCCTGGCTGCTTTTATCTAGAAAAGATGCATATACCCTACAACAATTCTATATATGTATACATACTAGGAAAACTCCTGCACATGTATAAACAATATAGATGTACAAGAATACAGCATACAACATTGTTTGTAATAATCCTAAGCTGGAAACAACTCCAGTGGCTACAAATAGTAGGATGGATAAAATATGTTCTGTGTGGCCGGGTGTGGTGGCTCATGCCTGTAATCCCAGCACTTTGGGAGGCAGAGGCCAGTGGATCACGAGGTCAGGAATTTGAGACCAGCCTGACCAACATGGTAAAACCCCGTCTCTACCAAAAATACAAAAATTAGCTGGGCATGGTGGCACGTGCCTGTAATCCCAGCTACTTAGGAGGCTGAGGCAGGAGAATAGCTTGAACCTGGGAGGCAAAGGTTGCAGTGAGACGAGATTGCGCTACTGCACTCCATCCTGGGCAACAGAGCAAGACTCCGTCTCAAAAAAAAAAAAAAGTTCCATGCAATAGCCATGCAAGAGAACACTATATAGCAATGCAAATGAACAAACTGTAGCTACGCTCAACAACGCAGATGAAGCCAGGTGCAGTGGCTCATGCCTGTAATCCTAGCAGTTTGGTAGGCTGAAGCAGGCAGATCACCAGAGGTCAGGAGTTCAAGACCAGTCTGTCCAACATGGTGAAACCCCGTCTCTACTAAACATACAAAAAAAAATTAGCCAGGTATGGTGGTGAGCACCTGTAATCCCAGCTATTCGGGAGGCTGAGGCAGTAGAATTGCTTGAATCCAAGAGGCAGAGGTTGCAGTGAGCCAAGATTGCGCTACTGTACTGCATCCTGGGCAACAGAGCAAGGCTCCATCTCAGAAAAAATAAAATACAAAAAATTAACTGGGCATGGTGGCACATGCCTATAGTCTTAACTGCTTGGGAGGCTAAGGCATGAGAACTGCTTGAACCTGGGAGGCAGAGGTTGCAGTGAGCCAAGATAGCACCACTGCACTCCAGTCTGGGTGACAGAGCGAGACTCTGTCTCCAGATAAACAAAAGCAATGCAGATGAATTTCTCAAATGTTGTGTTAAATAGAAGAAGCTAACCACAAAATAATGTATGCAGTATGTTTTCATTTATATAAAATTCAAAAGGGATGTGCATGTTTGAGGTAGAACACCGAAGACAACAAGGGCATGGTTTTCTTTTTTTTTTTTTTTTTTTTTGAGACGGAGTCTCGCTCTGTCCCCCAGGCTGGAGTGCAGTGGCGCGATCTCGGCTCACTGCAAGCTCCGCCTCCCGGGTTCACGCCATTCTCCTGCTTCAGCCTCCCGAGTAGCTGGGACTACAGGCGCCCACCACCACACCCGGCTAGGTTTTTTTGTATTTTTTAGTAGAGATGGGGTTTCACCGTGTTAGCCAGGATGGTCTCAATCTCCTGACCTCGTGATCCACCCGCCTCGGCCTCCCAAAGTGCTGAGATTACAGGCTTGAGCCACCGCGCCCAGCAAGGGCATGGTTTTCTCAAAAGTTAGGAGAGTGATTACCTGGGGTGGGGGAGAACAGAGTGGGGGAGAGCCCTGCTGAGAGGTGGCTGTGTTCTCTTTGTTGACCTAGGTGATAGTCACATGAATGTTTGCTTTGTATTTTTTAAACTGAATATATGTTTTATGTACATATGTTGTATCTCGCAATTTAAAAAAATAAAGAGGACAGATCACCTACCCCTAGTGGGTACATAAGATGACAACCAGGTGATGGGCGATGCTTCAACATGGGGGTGGTGGGGTCAGGGCTGGATGGTCGCAGTTGGGTCCAGGACCTTCTGCCTGAGGTGTTCTGCCCCCTGATCTCTGCAGGGCTGGGCTCTCTCCTCAGAGAGGCCTTCCCTGACCACCCTGTCTAAAAGTAGCTCCCACTGCTCAGTTTTGTCTTAGTTTTTTATTTTATTTATTTTTAATTTAGAAAAAATACAGAAAAAATTAGCTGTGCATGGTGGCGGGCGCTTGTAATCCCAGCTATTTGGGAGGCTGTGGCAGGAGAATCACTTGAACCCGGGAGGCGGAGGTTGCAGTGAGCCGAGAGCACATCATTGCACTCCCGCCTGGGCAACAAGAGCAAAACTCTGTCTCAAAAAAAAGAAAAAAGAAAAAATACAGAAAAGTCCAGAGAACAAAATATAAAAGCCTTTTTAAATTTTTTGATGTATAGTTTTGTGATTTTTTTTTTATATATAGTTTTGTGATATTTGCTTTAAATGCTTTCTGTCAACAAAATACTAAAGCACCACAGTTAGGGTTGGAGTTCCCATTGGAATCCTTTCAGTCCCATCTTCCTCTTTCCTCAGAAGTAATAATTGTCATTTGGTGTGGGTTTTTTTTTTTTCTGGCACATACTTTTATGAAACATATACCTCAGTTCCTCAAGTCTAAGCTGCCATCAATTGTAAAATGAATTCTAATTTCAGAGTTTTCAAGGGTTAAAAAATATACATTTTAGAATCTATGAAATATGGTATCTATAAGCAGTATGTATTATTTTGCACATTTTACATTTTTGGCATAAATGTTGTACAAATCATTCTGCAGCACACATCATTCTCTCATCATATCGTTTTGGGGGAATACCATTGATGACACATAAAGTTCTGGTTCATTCTTGTTGTATTTTCTCTGTAGCACTTATCCCTCTCTGAAATGTTGTTTATTGTCTTCTCCTGGCTGTACCTAACCCCAACCAGAATGCCAGCTCTCTGAGAGCCAGGAGCTGTGTATCTCATTTCCTGCTGAGTCTCCCGTGTGTAGTACGGTGCCTGTCTGACACACGACACCTGCCAAGTCAGTGAGGAGAGAAGTTAGGGTTTGAGGTGGCTCAGCAGTGAAAGGAGAGTGGATGCAATCACTGACTGTGTAAGTGAAAAGAGAGAGGAGAGAGAGTCAGCACTGAGAGTTGCTTCTGCTTCAGAAAGGAAAGCAGAAAGGAGGCAGGAGAGGAACTGTTCAGGAACTGGAAGGAGTCAAGGATGGGCCCAGGAAGCAGAGGCAGGAAGAATCTTGAGGGACAGGGAGAATGCTGAGTAGTACAGTTGAAGAGAATGAGGATAGAAGAGTCAGGAATTCAGTGAGGAAGTAATTATGGGCAGGAGTCGGAGACTCTGAAGCCAGATGGCAAGGGGCTAGAATATACAGAAAAGAGGCAGAAAGCAAACATTGGAGAAGAATGGCAGTGAAAAATAGAGAAATTTGATATTCGCAAGGGAGAATAGTATTATATGATAGTGTTTAATAGTGTCATTTAATAGGTTATATGACAGTGTTTAAAGACTGAGGAAGAGGAACATTCTGGAAGATGGTAGGTTAAGGATTGTCTATAAAGACACAAACTGCAGAAGCTAGGGAGAAGAAGCGTCCTGTAGCCAGTTGCTGGATTTGGAGGAAGGGGGTTGGCTCACATCTATTTCTCCGCATCCTATGCCCTCAGTTCCTTTTTCTTTCACTTTTTCTTACAGGGCCTTCTTCTAGCCCATCTCCAATTCTTTTCCTAAAACCTAGGCTTTCTGCTTCCCAGTTTTCCTAGCACTGTTTCCTGTCCTTTTTCTACCAGGCATTGGCCGCTGGACCAACCCCCAGTACCGGCAGTTCATCACCATCTTGGAAGCAACACATCGGAACCAGTCTTCAGAAAACAAGGTGAGAGGCCCTAGGAAAAGTGCCACACAGGCACCCAATAGCAGCTTTCTCAGTTGTCCCTCAGAGCACCAGACACTGGCTTCTGCAGGAAGAGGAGGTGTGTTTTACCACCCACCACACTGGGTGTTTGCTTGCACATTGCTGTATCCCTTCTCACCTCCATTAGTGAACTGTCCACCTGAGGAATTTTTCCTCCCTACCACTTCTAATGGAATATTCTGCTAGAACAATCTTCCCCCTCCCTCACCTGTAAGAACTGGCTAAACTAGAAACATTCCACAATGTTTCTTTTTTCTTTTTCTTTTTTTTTTTTTGAGATGGAGTTTCGCTCTTGTTGCCCAGGCTGGAGTGCAATGGCACGATCTCGGCTCACTGCACTCTCCACCTCCCAGGTTCAAGTGATTCTCCTGTCTCAGCTTCCTGAGTAGCTAGGATTACAGGCACGCACCACCCACACCCTCTAATTTTTGTATTTTTTGTAGAGACGGGGTTTCACCATGTTGGCTAGGCTGGTCTCCAACTCATGACCTCAGGCGATCTGCCTGCCCCAGCCTCCCAAAGTGCTGGGATTACAGGCGTGAGCCACCACTCCTGGCCTCTTTTTTTTTTTTTCTTCTTTGAGACAGAGTCTCACTCTTACTCAGGCTGGAGTATAGTGGTACAATCTCAGTTTACTACAACCTCCAACTCCCGGGTTCAAACAATGCTCATGCCTCAGCCTCCTGAGTAGCTGGAATTACAGGTGCACACCACCACGCCCAGTTAATTTTTTTTTTTTTTTTTTGAGACGGAGTCTCACTCTGTCGCCCAGGCTGGAGTGCAGTGGCGCCATCTCAGCTTACTGCAAGCTCGGCCTCCCGGGTTCATGCCATTGTCCTGCCTCAGCCCCCTGAGTAGCTGGGACTACAGGCGCCTGCCACCACGCCCGGCTAATTTTTTTATTTTTAGTAGAGACGGGGTTTCACCATGTTAGCCAGGATGGTCTTGATCTCCTGACCTTGTGATCCGCCTGCCTCGGCCTCCCAAAGTGCTGGGATTACAGGCGTGAGCCACCGTGCCTGGCCAATTTTTGTATTTTTAGCAGAGACAGGGTTTCATCATGTTGGCCAGGCTAGTCTTGAACTCCTGACTGCAGACGATCTGCCTGCCTTGGCCTTCCAAAGTGCTGGGATTATAGGTGTGAGCCACTGTGCCTGGCCCACAGTGTTTCTTTTTTTTTCTTTTGAGATGGAGTTTCGCTCTTGTTGCCCAGGCTGGCGTGCAATGGCATGATTCCAGCTCACTGCAACCTCCGCCTCCTGGGTTCAAGCGATTCTCCTGCCTCAGCCTCCCAAGTAGCTGGGATTACAGGCATGCGCCACCACGCCCAGCTAATATTGTATTTTTAGTAGAGATGGGGTTTAGCTGTGTTGGTCAGGCTGGTCTCAAACTCCTGACCTCAGGTGATCCACCTGCCTTGGCCTCCCAAAGTGCTGGGATTACAGGTGTGAGCCACTGCACCCAGCCCACAATGTTTCTTAGAAGGTAGTTTTCTCTGTATCACAGCAGCTCAGTTCTATAAATGTTTAATTTTGTTGTATGCATTGAATACCATGCTATCCTTGTTTGTGGATGGGACAAGGTGGACAGGTGTGTCCACTCCTATGCCTGGGAGTACAGCATGGTGCCAGGAGGGAGAAAAGCTAGGGCTCAGTGTCTTGGGAATTATGCCAAGCCGGCTGGTGCTGGACTGTGATTATCTTTGAGGATGGGCTTTGGGGCCCCATAGAGCTCTTTTCTGTTATGGGAGGTTTCTAGGATCAAACAGCTATGACCACCATCATCACATTCCTGGCTACTCCACACTATGGAGCTGCGTAATGATGCCCTGTACTATGCTACTGGCTGAAGCATTTGGCACACACCCTTTCTGATCCTCACAACAGCTGAGTGAGGTGGCATTATTACCTTTATTTGTAAATGTGAGAAAACAGAGGCAAAAAGAGGTTAAGTGACCCATTCGGAGTCATAGAGCAAGAAAGTGGCTAAGTCCAGATTTGAGAGCAGGTCTGAGCAAAGCCTGCCTGAAATTTGCTTTTAGTCATCTTGTTTTGTTTTGCCATTTACCTTTTTGTATAATTTTTCTATTGCTCTCTGTTAGTCAAATTATTTTTGAAATGTCAAAAAATTTCTGTGCAGAAAATAAAAACCCTCAAAATAGAGTGCTAGGAGCTCAGGGGGTGGGGGACGAATATAGTCAAGTATTAAGACACAGCTAGGCCGGGCGCGGTGGCTCACACCTGTAATCCCAGCACTTTGGAAGGCCGAGGCGGGTGGATCACGAGGTCAGGAGATCAAGACCATCCTGGCTAACATGGTGAAACCCCATCTCTGCTAAAGGTACAAAAATTAGCCGGGCATGGTGGTGGCAGGCACCTGTAGTCCCAGCTACTTGGAGGCTGAGGCGGGAGAATGGCGTGAAGCCGGGAGGCAGAGCTTGCAGTGATCCGAGATCGTGCCACTGCACTCCAGCCTGGGCGACAGAGTGAGACTCCATCTCAAAAAAAAAAAAAAAAAAAGACACAGCTCCCACTGCCGTCAAAAAACGTGGAGCTGGTGAGGTGGTTCATGCCTATAATCCCAGCACTTTCGGAAGCCAAGGCAGGAGGATCGCTTCAGCCCAGGAGTTGGAGACCAGCCTGGGCAACATAGTAAGACCTTGTCTCTAAAGAAAATTTTAAAAATTAGCTGGGCATGGTAGCACATGTCTGTAGTCCCAGCTACTCCAGAGGCTAAGGTAGGAGGATCACTTGGGCCTGGGAGTTTGAGGCTGCAGTGAGCTATGATTGCACCAACTGCATTCCAGCCTGGGCAACAGCACGAGACCCTGCCTCAAAAAAAAAAAAAAAGGCATGTGGACTGGCTCAGTGGGGTGGCCCGAGGTTCGGATGGGCTGTAGGGCAACACTGATCCATGGCTGCAGGAGTTGAGGAAGGGATGTAGTTGTGAGGATGGAAGTCAGAGCTTCCTTCAACGGGTGGCCCCACATGGCAGAGGAGCCCACTGTGGGCGTGACTTCCCTCCTCTCTGTCTCACTCAACCTTGGGTCTGTCAGTGTGATCTGCTGGGAGATTTCTAAGCTTCTAAGACAGCACCCTATAAGGGACCCAGGTGGGGAATAGACCGTGACCAGCCAGCGACCCCTACTACCCGTCACTCAAAAGCACTAGCACCTTCAGCCACTCCTCCTGGGGATGGGTCAGACTTAGTTTTTTAGAAAAGCAGAGTGTTAGGTTCTTAGCTTGGAAGAGGGCAGACAGGCCAGTCCTGATACCTGATGGGGCATACCATCTCCCCTGATTTTCTGGTCCTGTTAGAATTTTCCATCTGAGAATTGGGAGGGTATTGACCTCCGCTTGGTTTCCCCATGATGTGTGGGGATCAGACCCCTGGATAACGAAGGTGTTGTTGAGGGTGGGTAGGAGAGCCTCCCCTGAGTTCTCAGTACCCCTTTGCCTCTCGTGCCCACTGCAGAGGCAGCTTGCCAACTACAACTTTGACTTCCGGAGCTGGCCAGTCGACTTCCACTGGGAAGAACCCAGCAGCCGGTGAGGCCCCAGTTCTTTTGCTGTATCTCTCCCCTTAGAACCATTCCAGAAAATCTCTGCTCTGCCCTCCCACCTCCATGCCCTCTCAGGTCACAGTGCCTGCCTTCCAATGCCATTATGTCGTTCCTAGACCCCACTGTTCTCCAGACCTCAGACATCCAGCTTGCTGCTCCTGACCCTATCCTTCCCTGCATCTTTCCCTTCCTCAGGAAGGAGTCTCGAGGGGGCCCTTCCCGCCGGGGTGTGGCCCTGCTTCGCCCAGAGCCCCTGCACCGGGGGACAGCAGACACCCTCCTCAACCGGGTTAAGAAGCTGCCTTGTCAGATCACCAGGTGGGAAACAGCAGCGAGGAGAGGCCCACTGGGGTGGAGGGGCCATTTCAGGAGTGCTCTGGGAGTGGGCGCTCCATTGTAAAATAGCTGTCACTCATTGGGCCTAGTGCTGTATGGTTTGTGTAGATCATTTATGGCAAAGTCATTTTTATCCATATTTATGTTTGAAGAAAAGAGGCTCAGAGAGGTCTGGAGTCTCAAATGTAGTAAGTAAAGAACTGGGATATGAACAAAAGCTCCTTCAGTGAGGCTGAAAAGGAGCAGTGGGGGTGGGGTGGGGGTGGGGAGGACACACACTTGTAGCTAGGGCAGGCTCTGGTAGCATCTGTGTACCCATCGTGGCCCCTCTGCCCTGTTGTTATTCCACCTTGGCTCCGGGCCCCTGTGTGCCTCAGTGTCTGCACCTGTGATGAACCTGCCCTGCAAGGTTGCTGAGGAGATTAAGTAAGGTAACATGTTCTGAAGGGCTCCTGCCTTGCCTGGGTGCTTGAGAGCACATGGTAAATCCCAAATAAAGCTCAGTCGTGGGTACTGATGATGTCAGAAGGAACGGAAATAACCACCTATATCTTATAGTGGAACAGACACTGGGAATTTTCTTTTGCTGGGAGTTAGGAGGCAGCTTCTAGAATACCAAGGAACAGGGTGGACTTAGTGGTTGGTTGTTGACAGTGTGCTAATTAGTCAGGGAGGCAAGCCATATTTGAGGTTTTGAATTATAACCATCATTTTTTAAAGCATTATTTATTTGGGGACCTTTAATATGTTGTACTTATATTTTAACAGAATCATAATCTGATGATAACTTTGCATTTACTTATTATGTATAGACAGTTACATCATAAAACTCTCAGAATTCTGTACATACAGGATATGTGTGCACTGAGCCACAATATAAAATGTTTATCTTACAAAGGTTGCAGTAAGAAAAGTTTGCAAAACACTAGCCTGGTACATATTTCATTAAGGCTTGAAAGAGGAAAGTAAAGCTGTGAAGGTCAGGGGTAAAGCAGGCCTTACAGTCTGTGAGTGCTAGGGCTGGGATGGTCCCCAGCACAGTCCCCAGGCCTCAACAGGGTTGGGGTTTGTTAACCTGTGTTCCCCACAGCTACCTGGTGGCGCACACCCTAGGGCGCCGGATGCTGTATCCAGGCTCTGTGTACCTGCTGCAGAAGGCCCTCATGCCTGTGCTGCTGCAGGGCCAGGCCCGACTGGTGGAAGAGGTGAGGCTTCCCTGCCCGCACATCCCCTAAAGCCCTCCCCTCTCACCCCCACCCACCCCGCCCCACCCCTGTGATGTGGCCTCCTGACCCTTGCATCTTGGCCATTGCGTCTTCCGTACTCAGTGTAATGGGCGCCGGGCAAAGCTGCTGGCCTGTGATGGCAATGAGATTGACACCATGTTTGTGGACCGGCGGGGGACAGCTGAGCCCCAGGGACAGAAGCTGGTAAGAGGGAGCAGAGAGCCCAGAGGTGGGGTGAGTGTGAGGAAGGCAGTAGAGGTCTGGGGACCCCAATGCTATAGCACCTCCCTGAAGGAACCACTACTGGGGATAATCTCATGTCCTAGCTCCACGCTAAAGACCTTGTGATGTAGTGAAACCCTGTGATAGAGAAACAGATGAAGTAGGAGAGACGTTCAAGGACGAGAAACTAATATTAATAGTTACCACTTTGACAGCACTTCACACTTATATATATTTAATTCTCATATATATATGAAGCATATATATTTAATTCTCAAAAGAATCCCGTGAGATAGGTACTGCTTATATTAGCCCATTTTACAGGAGATGAAACTGGGGCACAGAAAACCTTTCCTGGACCTCACAGTAAGTGGTAGAGCTGGTATTTGGACCCAGGCAGCCTGGCCTCAAAGTCTCCTACCTCCATGAAGCAGCCGTGGAAAGAGCGCTAAGCCAGGAGTCTAGGGAGCTGGGTTCTAGTCCTGGCTCTGCCCATCTGTTATGAGAGTTCATGCAAATCCCACCATTCGTGGGTTTCAGCTTGGGGCGCCATGGCATTACAGTTTATCTGACCATAAGACTGGAGCTCAGAGAGGGATAGGGAGAGCAATCAGCATACCACACAATAGCAATGGTCACAGAAGATAACAGACCCGAAAACGAGAAAGGAAAAACATCTCCATAGTCCCCTTCCTGAAAGAGATCCAGCTGGTAATCTTCCAAGGAAAAGACATGGCTGGGTGGTCGAGCAGGTCAGCCTCTGAGGAGTATTTGTAATCCCTTTGCTTCTCCTCTTATGGACCCTGTGGAATGAGAAGCTTCCATTCCCCTTGGAGAAAACAGAAACCTGCCCTTTCCTCTTCCCTGCAAAGCTCTTCATGGGCTGCCCTCCCTGCCCAAAGGGAGTTTTTCAGTCCCAACTTGGCCCCCCAGCCCTTCCTTCCTGCCTCCTTCCTAGGTGATCTGCTGTGAGGGGAATGCTGGGTTTTATGAGGTGGGCTGCGTCTCCACGCCCCTGGAAGGTAGGACGGTGACTCAGCCTCCTTATCTCCGCCCTTTGAAAGGGAATGTCCCTGCCTCCCACACTGACCTGACCTCCCCTGGCCTCTGCTTTCTCTGGGTGAGGTTTTGAGTCTCTCAGCTTTAGGGAAAAGTCCACTCGCCATTTGCTTTGATAACCTTACATCCCTCCCCTGGCCTGTGTCCCTAGCTATTATGCTTTTCATTCTGTTCCATTCCCCCACCACACACCCCACACAATCACATGCTGCTCCCTGTGCTGCCTCAGAACCTCTGGTGTCATCTCCTATTTCTGGGAAGGCTTGGAGTTATTTGCATCTAAGCTGGGGGGTACTTCTGCTCTTCCTTCCCCCAGGGATGGAGAAAGGGCTGTGGGCCACAAGGTCTCAGTCCCTCCTCCCCCTGTGTTACAGCTGGATATTCAGTCCTGGGCTGGAATCATCCAGGCTTTGCTGGAAGCACGGTGAGACCATCTCAGGAATCCCTTCCTTTTCCTGAATTATGTCTGTTTCCCTCTGGTCAGCCATTGGAGGGAGGAGAGGGGCTGTGGATTTCTTGAAGGCGTCCCACTCACCTGAGGGCTGGGGTCTAGGAGGTTGTGAAGGCAGCATTGGGAGCCATGCCCCCATCCCCACAGTGCGGGGCTAGCAGGAGAGGAGGAGGTAGATCTCATTGTACACATCCGTCTTCTGGAGAGAACAACCTCTCCTACCATCCCTTCCTTCTACACCTTCTCTGCCTGTCATAGGTGGCTGCAGGAGGGGTCCACGTTGGGAGGGACAGGTGAGCTGGCCTTTGGTGCTGACACACTCCTGACTTTGCCCTTTCTCCTGCAGGGGGTGCCATTCCCGCAGAATGAGGCTAATGCCATGGATGTGGTGGTCCAGTTTGCCATCCACCGCCTGGGCTTCCAGCCCCAGGACATCATCATCTACGCCTGGTCCATCGGCGGCTTCACTGGTACCAGCCTCCCTCCCATCCCCCACTGTAGACACATTCATGACCACCCAGCCCCACCCGGGAGAGGTGGGGAAATGGGGTGGGGTGGAGGCTCAAGGAAGAAGAGAGAGGAAGTAGAATCTCTGAGTGGGCCTGGAAGAAGCTATCCTATTTGCATACACTTCACCTTTCCTTCCCCTCTTGTGCCCAGTCATTAAAAGGAAAAGCAGACCCAGGTCCTGGGTGGGGAGATCAGGGAAAGTGAATGTTTCCTGCCCATTATCTTCAGTGCACTATCTCCAGTGTTCTATCCCCATCCTCTCCAGATAGTTCCCTAACCAAGTGAAGTAGGTTAAGAAAAAAACAAGGGATAACATAGGGGGAATGGGGTTGGCCTATAGGGTCAGTGGGATGAGAGCATGGGTGGTGGGGAGAAAGGAGCCTTTCTCAGTTCTTACTCTTCTTCCCTGCCCTGGTACCAGCCACGTGGGCAGCCATGTCCTACCCAGATGTTAGTGCCATGATCCTGGATGCCTCCTTTGATGACCTGGTGCCCTTGGCCTTGAAGGTCATGCCAGACAGCTGGAGTGAGTGCAGCTCCCAGGCCTGCCCTTCCTGGGAAGGGGTGGGCTGGAACTGGGAACTGTTCTGAGATGGCTCCCTTTTCTTGGGTGGGGAGTAAGTCGCCCCATTGTTGGAAGCAGGAGGACTCCTTTGTCTGGGGGCCTCAGTTTTCTTTCTCCGTGAATAGTGAGGACCTTTATGTTGGGCAAGGGCTTTGTCTCTGCCATCCCTTCACCTTTATCCCACTCTAGGGGGCCTGGTGACCAGGACCGTGAGGCAGCATCTCAATCTAAACAACGCGGAGCAGCTGTGCAGGTGAGGGCCGGCCAGCGTCCGGCATTGAACACCTGCCCCCCATACAGCTCTGCTGGGCGCTCAAACCCTGAAACTAGTACTAAAGTGCAAGTTGGTAAAAGGCCACTGGCTCACATCCTGAGTGACCCTGCCACCACCTCAACTGGCCTAACCCCTCCCAGGTCCCCTGGGACTCTGGACCACCTCAGGATCTGGCAACCAAAGGGTTAAGGCCTGGCACGGCAGGGGTCTCCCAGCAGGGCCAGACTGAACCATGCCCCTTAAATAATCCCCTCTCACCCCTGAGTGAAGGGCTAGGTCAAGGGCTGTGCTATAGCAAGGGGAGGGTAAGAATGCTACCAGTGCAGGGATAGGGGTGGGCCAGTTGTCACCCGTCTCCCTCTGAGCTCTCCCTTCCCACTGCTCTGTTCTCTGAAGATACCAGGGTCCTGTACTGCTGATCCGGAGAACCAAGGATGAGATCATCACCACCACGTGAGTGCGTGGGAATCTCGGCCCTCAGGAACCCCAGAGATGGCCAGGAACTTGTCCCTTCTACCTCTGCCCACCAGAAACCTGGGTATCTAGACCCTTCCTCCTAACCTCCAGCCCCTCCAGGGTACATTCTTCTCACCCCCAGGGTTCCTGAGGACATCATGTCCAACCGAGGCAATGACCTCCTGCTGAAGCTCCTGCAGCATCGGTGAGAGCCAGGGTGTGTGCGCGCTGGGGGCAGTGTACACACACAGATACTGATACCAGCACAGGGAAGGAGGGAGGAAGGTTCAGGGATGGTGAATGAAAAAAAATCAGCCCTGACCTGTCCTGGCACTTCCTCCGTAGGTATCCCCGGGTGATGGCAGAGGAGGGTCTTCGAGTGGTGAGGCAGTGGTTGGAGGCCTCCTCACAGCTGGAGGAAGGTGAGAAGGGATCCAGTGAGGCTTGGGGCGGGGGCCCAGCAAGGTCAGGTTGCTGACTGGCTGTCATCTCTCTCCCTGACCAGCCTCAATTTATAGCCGATGGGAGGTGGAAGAGGACTGGTGTCTGTCTGTCCTCCGCTCCTACCAGGCAGAACACGGGCCCGACTTCCCCTGGAGCGTGGGTAAGGAGCTCCTGGGGCAGGAGAGAGGGTGGGAAGGGCCTAGGAAGGGGATGAATACCCAGATGTGTGGCCTATTTTGAGCGCCTCCTCTCTGCAGGGGAGGACATGAGTGCAGATGGACGGCGGCAGCTGGCTTTGTTTCTGGTGAGCTAAGGAGTGGGAAGTGGGAAGGGTTCTTGAATGGCCAGGGCTCACATAGGGGGACTGGGGATACCCTATAAGCATTGGAAGTGGCAGCTTTTGTAGAGTGGGTGGTGGATGCGGAAGTGGAGGGTGGGGAGGGAGTCCAGTGGCTGCCCCTCCCAACAGTGCTCTGTACCCCACCTGTCCCACCTCCTTTCCTCAGGCTCGGAAGCATCTGCACAACTTTGAGGCCACTCACTGCACCCCACTCCCAGCCCAGAACTTCCAGATGCCCTGGCACCTCTAGGGACCAACTGGGACTCATTATGGAAGAATGGGGTGAGAGGAGACATGAGGAAAGACCCTCTTATTTGTGATTCTCTGTGTTCATGTTGCTGTTTATAGTTTGTGGAAAGTGGGGGACCATCCCCCTTCTCACCACTGTTCCTCTTGCACGTTTCCCCTCATTCATGTGGCTGTACTTAACCTTCTCCAACATACATCCTGCATTACATGAATGGATTATTCCTAATAATTAATAAAAAGGTATTTTTTCTACTATCAGGCTAATTGTATAACTTCTCAAGTGTCCAGGGAGCCAGGGGCAGGTAGTGGGGAGAGCAGAGGCCCCAAAGAGCTGGGCTTTGGGAAACCCTAACTCTAGACAATCTAGCTAATCTAACCCTTCCCATCTCTGTGTCCCCCTAGGCCTTCAGCCCCTAACCTGAGCTTTCCTCAGGCAGCAGGTCCCCAAACCTCCCCGGTCCCTGATGTGCCTACTGTTATCACAACTGTGCAGCCTCCCTGGCCCCTCCCGCCTCCTTCTTCAGTTCTTCCTGCATACAACCACCCCAGGAGCCCATGGTTGCCCCCTCCTGCTTACGGCTCATGAGCTTTCTAGGATCCGATTTCACCTACCCAGTGCTTCTGCTGGTTTCCAGGTTCAACCTGCATGGTGTTACTAGCAGTACCCCCAATTTTCATTGCTCACCTCTTGTTATCTTGGTGAAGAGTGAGGAAGGGCCTGCTCCCCACGTCTTATGCAGCAAACCCTGCACACCCACCTTGCCATGTCATCAAGTCTCTGTCCTCACAGCCTTTTTGCAGTTCAACAAACACAGGCCCTGCCAGGGACGGAGGGCCAGGTGCCAAGGACTCATGTCTTCTCAGAGCCATACTTTGCCTTTTGGACGGCTCTGTTAGGAGAAGATGCTTAGGTTGTACCTGAGGAAATTGGTTCCCTATAACTGCCATCTATCTCTAACTTTGGACCTTGTGGAACACAGTGAATAAATCCCTCTTCCACCCATTGGTTTGTTGCCTGGCAGTTTTTTTTATTTTTTTGGAGATGGAGTCTTACTATGTTGCCCAGGCTGGAGTGCAGTGGCACAATCTGAGCTTGCTGCAACCTCCACCTCCCAGGTTCAAGTGATCCTCCAGCCTCAGCCCCTCTAGTAGCTGGGATTACAGGTATGCGCCACCATACCCAGTTGATTTTTGTATTTTTAGTGAAGATGAGGTTTCGCCATGTTGGCCAAGTTGGTCTCGAACTCCTGACCTCAGGTGATCCAACCGCCTTGGCTTCCCAAAGTGTTGGGGATTAAAGGTGTGAGCCACTGCGCCTGGCCGCTGGCCACTTTCTTCATTTGGAAACTTCTCTTTTCCAGATGAAAGACCCCAAAGTTTATCGCCCTGAGTCCATTTTTGTTTTGTTTTATTTTGTTGGGGATGGTTTTTTGTTTGTTTTTTGAGATGGATTCTCACTCTGTCGCCTAGGCTGGAGTGCAGTGGCACGATCTCAGCTCATTGCAACCTCTGCCTCCCAAGTTCAAGCGATTCTCCTGTCTCAGCCTCCCAAGTAGCTGGGATTACAGGTGTGTGCCACTACACACAGCTGATTTTTCGTATTTTAGTAGAGACAGGTTTCACCATGTTGCCCAGGCTGGTCTCAAACTCCTGAGCTCAGGCAATCCACCCACCTCAGCCGACTCCATTCTTTTTTTTTTGAGACGGAGTCTCGCTCTGTCACCCAGGCTGGAGTGCAGTGGCACAATCTCGGCTCACTGCAAGCTCCGCCTCCTGGGTTCACGCCATTCTCCTGCCTCAGCCTCCCTAGTACCTGGGACTACAGGCGCCTGCCACCACGCCTGGCTAATTTTTTGTATTCTTAGTAGAGACGGGGTTTCACTGTGTTAGCCAGGATGGTCTCGATCTCCTGACCTCGTGATCCACCCGCCTCTGCCTCCCAAAGTGCTGGGATTACAGGCGTGAGCCACCGCGCCCGGCCAACTCCATTCTTTTGAGCAAGATACTTAACGTGGGCGACAATGTTCTAATGTCCTAGATGGAGTCTCTGGCTAAATTTCTGTGTCTTCTCCAAACCCAGTGCATGAAGCTCTTCTTGAAACCCCAGGGCAGAGGCTGTGTGTGCCCCCATTAGCGCTGCAACTCCTTAAGGGAAGATATACTGAGTCTCCACTGGAAGTGGAGATCTGAGACTTAATCAGGTGATGTGATGCCTGAAATTTGGAGTTAGAAGAGGCAGGTGACCACAGCTCCATAATGCTCCACCGTTAGCAAACAGGTGGATAGCTGATACTGGTGCCCTCTCCTCTATCCCATTCCAGGGGGGCAAACGATGGGAAGTGTGGAACATGAAGCTCTGGAGCCAGCTGCACAGTTCTGAATCCCATCCTCCCAGATCCAACAGAAGAGTTAATCCCCTGAAAACTAAATTTTTGTTCAGCTAAGGGAAGCTCCTTAAATGCAAAGAGGAGCTGGGCATGGTGGCTCACATCTGTAATCCCAGCACTTTGGGAGGCTGGGGCAGGAGGATCACTTGAGCCTAGAAGTTCAAGACTGGACAGGGCAACATAGGGAGACTCCATCAGTACAAAAAATTTAAAAATTACCCAGGCATGGTGGCATGCACCCGTGTTCCAAGCTACTCTGGAGGCTGAGGTAAGAGGATCGCTTGGCTGAGGATCACGGTAGGTTGAGGCTGCAGTGAGCTGTGATCGTGCCACCGGACTCCAGCTTGGGTGACAGAGTGAGACTCTGTCTCAAAAAAAAAAAAAAAAAGCAAATAGGGGTGCCCAGTCTCACCTCCCATACCCTGGGGACAAAGGACACCCCTCCCTGGACATGGCCATTAGGGACTCTGCTGAACTGCCCCTACTGCCACTTTCCCCCATCTTACTGCATGTAATTGTAGACAACAGTGGATGACCTGAGGGGCCCTTAGATACCTGAAATTGGGTAGGGAAAGAAAGGTAGGCTCAACATGTGAATTCTGAACCCCCCCATCCAGGGGCCTCAGCCTACTTCAGATTACTCCCTATGCAATAAGGTTCAGAGCAGCTGTGTTTGTTTTCAGAACTAATCCCCACCCAGGGGTGGAAGCAGGCCCCTGTCCACTCCTCACCCTATATAGCAAAGTTCCAGCAGTTCCAGGGGATGATCAGCAGAGATGCAGACCTTCCCAGTTGCTGGGGCGCTGGACCCTGCTATACTGGACACAAGGTGAGGCCTGAAAGTCCAGGCACCCTGAGGAGCTGGGCAAACTAGCAGAAAAGATGGCGCTGGGAGAAAGGAAAGTTAGACTCTGGACGGGAAATCTGGAAAGAAGTGGTTCCCAGCTGGGCCAAAAAGCCTCATCCTACGCCGTCTCATCGACCTGGGCTCCACCCTGAGTGCCTCCAGTGTGAGGTGCTGGACTGGCTCTGTGCTGCCTGTTTGGGTTGAGGGTTTGCTCCTAGGAGAGGCATGTATTTCTCGTACAGCTGTCACAAGCGAGTGAGGGCTCCGGAGGTGGAGGGCCCAAGAGGGTGGGGAGCTCAGGCGTCAGTGATAGCCAGATTTCCATCCATCGGTCCGTCCGTCCGTCCATCCATCCATCCATCTATCCAATCAACAAGCCATTCCGGATTCTTCAGGAATCCAGTCATTCATTTATATTTAGGTTAAAGACCCTCTCTCTGGTTCCTCTCTAGAACGCAATCTCGAGCCGCTCCCCCAACAAACCGTGGCCCTCTCCCGACCGGGTCATCTACAGCCCCGCCCCTCGTTTGCCTGGCTCCATTCCCCTAACCTTGGCGTTCTGTCCTCAGGCCCCGCCTTCTTTGTTTCGTCACTCGGTTGCTTACCCTCAGGTATCCCTTAACTCTAGGTAGGAGCACTCAGAAGGGACACCGTCATCTGCTGCTGTCGCCATGGCGATTATTCAACGCCCTGCCTCTTCACCCCAGGAAAACCTTCGCGGAACCCGTCACCATGGAAACGAACTCTCTGGACTCTTAGCGCGCCCTGGGCTGGCCCTGCTGGGTGGACAGGAGAGGAGCAAAACGCAACAAAGACGGGATTAATTACTCGGAGGCCGCGCCCCCTCCGAAGAAGGCCCCACCCTGCCCCGGCCTCACCCCTCCCCGAAATAATTCGAGGAAATATTCCGCGAATGCTGGGTGGGTGTCTTGCCCCCCGGTTCCCTCAAGGCCCACGGTCGCTTGAATTCCACAGCAAGTCCTCCCGGACCTCTCAGGGCAATCCCCTCCCGAAGCCCAGCCTCAGCCTCGCAAAGCCTCTAGTCGTTGGCCTTTTCGTTGCGATTATATTCGAGAGGGAGCTTCAGAGGGCGCCGCGAAGTTCCCCTGTGCTTCCCCTTTGCCCTTTGCCCTCTTCGCTTCAAGAGGAGCCCCTGGCTCTCTTTTTTTTTTTTTTTTTTTTTTTTTGAGACGGAGTCTTGCTCTGTCGCCAAGCTGGAGTGCAGTGGCGCGATCTCGGCTCACTGCAACCTCCGTCTCCCGGGTTCAAGCGATTCTCCTGCCTCAGCCTCCTGAGTAGCTGGGACTACAGGCAGGCGCCACCACTCCTGGCTAATTTTTGTATGTTTAGTAGAGACGGGGTTTCACCATATTGTCCAGGATGGTCTCGATCTCTTAACCTTGTGATCCGCCCAGCTCGGCCTCCCAAAGTGCTGGGATTACAGGCGTGAGCCACGGAGCCCGGCCCTCTGATTCTTTTTGTCTATCACTCTGTGCACTCATTCATTCAAGACATTTATGTAGGTGCCCCGCGTTCCTCTGCAGTTCTCCACTACTCTGGCTTTTCTCTAATACAATTTATTTTGTGTTATTATTTCTTTAAGACAGAGTCTCACTCTGTCGCCCAGGCTGGAGTGCAGTGGTGCGATCTCGGCTCACTGCAACCTCTGCCTCCCAGGTTCAAGAGATTCTCCTGCCTCAGCCTCCCGAGTAGCCAGGACTACAGGCGTGCGCCACCACACCTGGCTAATGTTTTTGTATTTTTTGATAGAGACGGGGTTTCACCATGTTGCTCAGGCTGGTTGCGAACTCCTGACCTCGAATGATCCCCCACCTTGGCCTCCCAAAGTGCTGGGATTACAGGCATGAGCCGCCACGCCCGGCTAATTTTTGGTATTTGTAGTAGAAACGGGGTTTCACCATGTTAGCCAGGCTGGGTGCGAACTCCTGACCTCAGGTAGTCCACCCGCCTTGGCCTCCCAAAGTGCTGGGATTACAGGCGTGAGCCACCGCAGTCCGGCCCTAATATAGTTTTTAAATTCATTCATTCCAAGGCTTTTGGGAGGCGCTCAGTGGCGTGCAGTTTCCTCTCGAATTTCTTTCTTCCCGCAGTCTTTCTGGGCGGGCGTCTCCCGTCTGTTTCTTCCCATCTTCCCCCTTATCATCCTGGGACTGGATAATTCTTGAATAGTCTGGGAGGTAGCAGGGAACCCGAGTTCGGAGCCTCGACCAGAACCTCCAGACGGGAAATTGGAGCAGGTGGTGTCGTTCCAGGACGCTGAGGACCACCTCCTCCCCTAACGCACAGCCCAACGATCCTAAAAGTAAAAACCCTGAGTTTCTGAGTCAAGACTGAGCTGGTGGGGTGGGGACCGAGTAGGCGTGGATGGGGAGCCCAGCGGGTCCCCAGCGGAGAAAATGGGTGAGACGCCTGGGGCCGCGGTCTCCAGAATTCGCCTGGGAGGGAGAGTGGCGCTACGGCGCCGCCTTCCTGGGGAGCCGCTTCGGGCTCCGGATGTCCGCTGGGGCCCGACGCTTGGGTCCCGACGCGCGGTTCGCACTTTCCAGGTTTCTTCCCCAGGGAACAGAGCTTGAGCGGGGGGCCACCCCCCCGTCCTACCGGAGTTCTGAGGTGCGGTCAGGCGCGGAGAGCGGACGCCCAGCGCCAGATTCTGTGGGCTCCGGAGTTCAGGCCCACTGAGCCGCAGCTGAGCACAGGCGGGGCAGGAAAAAGGATGAGGTGAGGGAAGGCGCTGGGTTCCTGGAACCCCAAGGGAGCACTGAGCTGAGTACGTATCGCTTGGGATCCAGGTGTCCTTGTTTTAGGATGTCTGACAGGTGTCCCCAGGGTATGAGAAGTGGGACTGGGCACCCCCTATTTGCTTTTTTTTTTTTTTTTTTTGAGACAGACCACATGTTTCCTATCTTGGAAAATGGTACCACTTCCTTGTGCAAGCCTACCCCTGTTCCCTCACCCCTCGTTCAGTCCAACAGCAAATCTGTCCAGTCTTCTAACTGTATCTCAGGTTCATTAGCCCCGCTTCCTCGTCCCTGCTCGTCTTCTGCCGGACCAGTCCGCCATCTTGTGACCGGACTCGGGAATAGCGTCCTACTTCCCGGCGGCCTCCACTCTTGACCCAAATGCAATGTGCAGCCATGGCAATCTTTTATAAACAGAAATCCGATCAAGTTACTCCTCTGCCGAAATCCCTCTGGTCAGTGGTTTAACTGTCGAGGTGCTCCTGGCAGCACTCTGCCCTCCCCACATCATTGCTGGTGGACTTGTCTCCCCTACTAGACTGTGCCCTGTGAGGGTGGAGACTTTGTGCAGGGTTGTATCCCCAGCATCTGATGCAGTGATTCAATAAACATCTGTCCAATTAATAGGAAAGACAGTTCCTTTTCTCATTCCCCTATTGCTGGTCCCCTGCCCTCAAGCAGGATGTTATGCCCCAGAGTGGCTGTGGGTGCGAACATTCTGCCCCTCTGGCTGGTCTGGCACTGATTTCCACCCTGAGCTGGTGTTGCCTCTCTCCTTCCTCTTGGCCAACCTCTCTTCCACCAATATAAGCCCAAACTGGAGGCCAGCAGGCAGTCATGCGTTTTATGGCAGGCCCTGCAGGGAGCCAGAGTCTGGGTCCCCTGTGCTTCCACAGCAGCCCCCAAGCCCTCTACACGGTCCTCTTAATAGTGCTGGTCATGATGAGCTTGGTGTTTGGTAAGTGGCTCCAAGGGTTCAGAAGGGTCTCCTGGCCTGGATGGAGAAACCCACAGACACCAAGTGTCTGGGTACACCTGTCCAGGATGCTCAGGTAAACCCATGCAGGAGGAGAGATGGGACAGATGGGTTTGGTAGGGAATGCCTGCTCATGGACTGATGTGCAATCTGAAGATTTTTAAAAATTTATTATTATTATTATTTTTGAGATGGAGTCTCGCTCTGTATCCCAGGCCGGAGTGCAGTGGCGAGATCTCGGCTCACTGCAACCTCCACCTCCCGGGTTCAAGCGATTCTCATGCCTCAGCCTCCCGAATAACTGGGATTACAGGCATAAGCCACCAAGCCCAGCTAATTTTTGTATATTTAGTAGAGACGGGGTTTCACCATGTTGGCCAGGCTGGTCTCGAACTCCTGACCTCAGGTACCTGCCCGCCTTGGCCTCCCAAAGTGCTGGGATTACAGGCGTGAGCCACCGCACCCAGCCTCTGAAGGAGATTTCTAGTGACCACCCCAGGGCTGTCTCACTTCACAGCAGTGACCTGAATAGAGATACTGAAGGAATCCTCTCTGGATCTGAGGGCAACATAGAATAGGGAGGGTTAGGGAGTGTGCTGGATGAGAAAACCAGAATCCACAGGATAGAACAAGACTGAGTCCAGCCTGCTGGGCTCCCCACTTGGCTGCAAAGCACCAGCCACAGAGACACAGGATTCAAAGTGTTGGTTTAGCACTTTCCTCTGCCTAACACCAAGTGCTCTGCTGGGTCTGGGGATTTGTTAACATGTGGTCTGGCCTTAGGACCAGAGGAAAAGGGGGATGTATGTGTATGCAGTTGGGGAAGGAAGCAGAGAATTGGGGCTTTGATGGTTTTCTGAGACAGGAAGGGAGGGAGGAGTGGGGCTGAGTGGCCTGGAATCAGGCAGTGGTAGGGTGTGAGGTAGAATGGGGTGTGAGTGGGGTCAGCACTTCTCTGTGTTCTAGGTAAGTTTGTTCCTGTCAATTGGGAACCCCCTCAACCACTTCCATTCCCCAAATACCTGCGCTGCTACCGATGCCTCTTGGAGACCAAGGAGTTAGGGTGCCTTCTGGGATCTGACATCTGCCTCACCCCAGCTGGCAGCAGCTGCATCACTCTCCACAAAAAGAACAGTAAGTGGCCTTCTCCTGTCATGGGCCCAGCACTCTCCCAAACGGAAACTCTCTCAGCCTCCTAAGCTGCACCCCAAGTCTTGTTCCCATAATCCCATAAGACATTGCTCCAATCCTGTCTTTTTTTTTTTGCTGCTCTGTCACCCAGGCTGGAGTGCAGTGGCGCAATCTTGGCTCACTGCAACCTCCACCTCCCCAGTTCAAGCAATTCTTGTGCCTCAGTCTCCCAAGCAGCTGGGATTAAAGGTGCACGCCACCACGCCCAGCTAATTTTTTGTATTTTTAGTAGAGATGGGGATTCACCATGTTGGCCAGGCTGGTCTCGAACTCCTGACCTCAGGTGATCCACCCACCTTAGCTTCCCAGAGTGCTGGGATTACAGGCGTGAGCCACCGTGCCCAGCCTCTCTTCCCTTTTCTTCAGAGCCACACTCTGTCTCCACTTCCACTAACCTTCTCTCCTCAATCTGTAGCTGAATAGCTTCTACCCTATCAAGGTGCGCAGCTTTGACGGGGACCCTCCAGATCTCCAGGTGCCCTTGCCTGTCCTCAAGCTGTCTGCTTCCGCATCTGTCTGCAGTTACTGCTGGTGTTGCTCTTCTCCTGCATCCTCCACGGCTTCTTCAGTCTCCTTCATGGAGCGTTTTCTCTCTGACCCTTAGTGGTTCATGTTCACCAAGGTTTGGTCCTTAGCTGTCTTCCCACTTCATATACTCAAAAGCAGAGGATTTTATCTGCTTTGCTGGCTTCAACCAGCAGCCACATACCACTTCCTTCTGAATCTGAATGTTATGTCAAACCGCTCTCCTCATATCCCGTTGACCACTGGACATCTCCCTCGCTGAAAATTGACTCCTTCCCGATGCCTGCTCTTCCACCGACCCCCCACCTTTCTTAAGTTAGCAAAAACGTAACACATAATATGTGCTAGGCACTGTTCTAAACACTTGCAATCCGCTGAGGCAGGTATTATTACTATGTGCATTTTACAGATGAGGAAACAGGTGCAGAAAGGTCATAACCTTGCCTGAGTCTCACAGATGCTGAGCCAGAATTTGTGATGGCTCCAGAGATGGTGCTCTCAACAACCACTGCATGCAGCTGCCTGTGTTCAAGTCCTCTTACTACCCTTTTAACATAGCCGATGCACAGATGTGGGTCAAATATCAGAGTATACAATACCATCAAACCAAAGTCTCCCGCTACTACCCTAACCCACCTGGCTCCCCTGCACATGTGACCACTTTTTTTACTTTCTGGATGATCCCTCCTGCAATCTTTTATGCACATTCCACCCTGCACAAATATGCTGTTTACTATTTTTTCACCTCTTCCCCCGCCCCAACCCAAGATAGTAGCATCCCACTGTAAACATTATTCCACATTTAAGTTAGGGGAACTGAATGTTCCGATATCAGTTTGTAAACAGCTTCCTTGTTTTATTGACCTGCTGTATACTACTCCATAGCATGCGCATATCACAGCTGATTTCCCCATCCCACTATTGATGGGCATTTTGGTCATTTCTCTCAAGCAGGGCAGCAGCAAACATCCCTGAACATGACTTCTTGGGATGCAGGCACAAAGATTTTTCTCTATTATGTATAACAGCAGCAGACATCATCTTATTCTCTTTTGGTCTGAAAAATAAATAACAATACACCTCCTTCCTGCCACCCAATCTCCAAAACATTTCCCAGCTTTTTCTCACATGGTCCTATGGTGCTAGTTCTCCTCACTTGGCTCAGTAACTCCCAACTCCCCCTCCAACCATTACATTTCATATGGCTCTTTTCCTCCAGCCTTGCATGGGAACTTCAGTGGAGTTCCATGGCTGGTGAACACTGGGCATGTCCACCCATGCCTAACTACAGGAATCTTTTCTTTTTCTTTTTTTTTTTGACTTATGAGTGTGGGGATGAGAGGATTTGGGGCTCTTCCTGGGGACTTCCGTATCACTGGTGCCCACTGTCCCTCCCCAGGCAGCGGTTCTGACGTCATGGTGAGTGACTGCCGAAGTAAGGAGCAGATGAGTGATTGTTCAAATACCCGAACTTCTCCGGTGTCTGGCTTCTGGATATTCTCTCAATACTGCTTCCTGGATTTCTGCAATGACCCTCAAAACAGAGGGCTCTATACTCCTTAGTGTGACTGCAGCAAACTTTGGTGTAAAATTCCACCAGTTTCCAGCCACCTTCCTGACTTCTATCTGGGCTTGGCCAGGACTTCTAGTCCCTCATACCAGCCCTCCTTGCCTCCCTCCAGCCACTGGACCCCAGCCTTGGCTCTTCCTCTTGGTTGACGCCCTTCAGCACACTTACTGCTACTCTGTACCCCCAGCCCTACTGCCCACCAGGTTTCCTCTCTTGTCCCCTAGTCCCTGGATGTTTCTCCCAAATAAATTTGTGTGTAAACTGTTTGGTATGTCTCTTTCTTCTGGTGGAGGTGAAGGCTGAGGGAGGTGCACCTGCCTAACTGCCCTACCATGGGTCAGGTAAGGGACCCCCAGCTCTGCTGAGCTGTCCTCTTGTCCTGCCTTGGTATGTGATTTGCTCTAGACACAAAAAGAGAAAGAGGAAATGAAAGCCCTCCTATGGTGAATGCCAGAAAGTTAGTGGGCATCCTCGGCAGTGCTGTCAGACCAGAGCTGTGTGGGGGCTAGGGGCGTTTAGAGGGCTATGTTGGTGGGAAGGGGGCTGCGAAAGGACCAGGCCCAGGTAGAAGGAGGTGGGTGAGAAGGCCACTCTTTTTTTGAGACAGTCTCACTGTCACCTAGGCTGGAGTGCAGTGGTGTGATCTTGGCTCATTGCAACTTCTGCCTCCCAGGTTCAAGTGATTCTTCTGCCTCAGCCTCCCGAGTAGCTGGGATTACAAGCACATGCCACCACACCTGGCTAATTTTTATATTTTATTAGTAGAGACGGGGTTTCACCAGTTGGCCAGGCTGGTCTCGAACTCCTGACTTCAAGTGATCTGCCTGCGTTGGCCTCCCAAAGGGCTGGGATTACAGGCGTGAGTCACCCCGAGCCGAGAAGGCCACTCTCAAAGAGATGTTAGACCTTATTGGAGTCCTGGTCTCTTCAATTCTGGGCCAAGTTCTTCAGCCTCTGAGGGTGTCTTCCAGGTTGACCTGCTATAAACCTGGGCCTTTCTCTGTCTTATACTGACGTCAGAGGTCATGGAGAAGGGTGGACTTAGCAAGGTGGGGGTTGGGGGGCACATTAAGGGTTTGTACCTCTCTTTGTACGCCAACTGCCTCATGACTTAATTATCATTGGTTTGGTATTTTCCGTCAGAGTACAGGCCACACAGATTTGTTAACACGTGTGCAAAACACTATATAGGTAAAAGCAGATGTGTACGATGCCATTTCCATCAAGCACAGACAGAACTCATCTAAGCTACTACCAGTCAGGACAGCGGCTACCCCAGAGCTGGGAAGAGCACCTGGGAGAGGGGAACAGAGGCAGGCTTGGCTGCGGGTAAAGGTCTTCACGCTGATTTGGTGGCTGGTTACACAGATGTGTGGTTTACAAAAATCCATCTTGTGATATGTGCAAGCTTCTGAATGTTTTACCAAAAAGGTTTGAAAATAAGTAAATCAGCCAGGTGAGCATGGTGGTGTGCATCTGTAGTCCCAGCTACTTGGAGGCTGAGGCAGAAGAATCTCTTGAGCCCAGGAGTTCAAGGCCAGCTTGGGCAACATAGTAAGAACCTTAGAAAAAAAAGCTGAACATTGTGTATGCATTTGACTCTAGGGCAAATATATTTTTTTGAGGGGGAAAAGGCCTTAACTTCTACTTGTGTATGCACATTTACATGTGTTTTCTCAATCATCTGAGGCACTATCCCTACTTGACAGGTGACCAAGGTGGGGCTGAAGAGACTGACATATCCAAGTGGTAGAGGGGCTGGGATTGGACCTCCCAGCCACAAAGCTGCACTGCTTTTCAGAAAAAGGTTTCATAACCCAAGCACTGGGCTGCAAGACTTGGAAGGGCAGACACCTGGCTATACTCATCTGGGAGTCCTGCTGCTCAATACCAAGCCTGACTCAGAGCAGCGTTATGTCCAGCATGTTTATCCAGTGTATGGAAAAGGCTGTTGTATCCATCCTTGCTTTCTATACGTTTGCACTATTTCAAAATTAAAATATTAGCATGAAGATCCAACCACTGCAGCCCAACATCAGTGCTCTCAGCACTTTGCCCCTCAAATTGGGCCCCTCGAGAGGGCATCCTGGATGCCAGAATCCTTGAAAAGAACTAAGGAATGGCAGGAGTCCAGGGCCCCAGCAGCAGGTAACTCTGGCATGTGGCTCTGAGTTCCTGAGTCTTTCTGGTTTAAAGAGAAAGTTTCTTTTTTTTTTTTTTTGGAGACAGTCTCGGTCTGTCACCCAGGCTGGAGTACAGTGGCACGATCTCGGCTCACTGCAAACTCTGCCTCCCAGGTTCAAGCGATTCTCCTGCCTCAGCCTCCTGAGTAGCTGGGATCACAGACACGTGCCACCATGCCCAACTAATTTTTTTTTTTTTTTTTTTAGTAGAGATGGGCTTTCACCATGTTGGTCAGGCTGGTGTCGAACTCCTGACCTCATGATCCGCCTGCTTCGGCCTCCCAAAGTGCTGGGATTACAGGCAAGCCACCGCGCCCAGGCTTTTTTTTTTTTTTTTAAGACAGAGTTTCGCTCTTGTTGCCCTGTCTGGAGTGCAATGGCGTGATCTCAGCTCACTGCAACCTACACCTCCCCGGTTCAAGCAATTCTCCTGCCTCAGCCTCCCAAGTAGCTGGGATTACAAGCATGAGCCACCATGCCCAGCTAATTTTTCATATTTAGTAGAGACAAGATTTCACCATGTTGGTCAGGCTGGTCTCAAACCCGACCTCAGGTGATCCACCCACCTCGGCCTCCCAAAGTTCAGGGATTACAAGCATGAGCCACCGCACCTGGCCTAAAGTTTCTTTTCTTAGGTGAAAAGACCTGGCATCATCAGGGTCTAACTTTCCAGGTTTTGTAGGGTATGTTTAAGGCTGGGAAGAATCACAGTCCCCATGCTTTGATCTCCAGCTAAGCAGAGGGTGGGGAGGGATGTGTGCCCTTTACAGGAGGCCGAGAGGAAGCGACAAACGCCAAGTGCAATGGAGAGGGCTCTGCAATCCTATTTGGATCCCAAACCTCACTAACCCTTTTTTTTTTTTTTTTTTTTGAGACACAGTTTCACTCTTGTTGCCCAGGCTGGAGTGCAATGGTGCAATCTCGGCTCATCGCCACCTCCACCTTCCAGGTTCAAGTGATTCTCCGGCCTCAGCCTCCCGAGTAGCTGTAATTACAGGTATGCGCTACCAAGCCCGGCTAATTTTGTATTTTTAGTAGCGATGGGGTTTCTCCATATTGGTCAGGCTGGTCTCAAACTCCCAATCTCAGGTGATCCGCCTGCCTCAGCCTCCCAAAGTGCTGGGATTACAGGCGTGAGCCACTGCGCCAGGCATTAACCCTCTTTAATCTGTGTTTACCTGCCCACACCTGAGCCTGACCCCACAAACAATGTGACACAGTTTTAGCCCAGTCCCAGTTTATTGTGGAGGAAAATGGGGGACATGGAGCTGAGCAGAACAGACCCTTCCCTCTCCTCTCACAGGCCCCTAGGGAGATGGGTGTCAGGACTCAGTGAAGTGAAATGGGGCCGAGGAAGCCAGAGACTGACAAGAGAGCAAGAGAGGACAGGAGGCAGAACAACACTAGGACAGGCGGGGGTTGGTGGAGACAGTGAGGCAGGGACACAAAATTGCCAAGTCAGGACATCTGCACAGAATTCTATTCCTCATCCTTTTTTTTGGAGACGGAGTCTCACTGTGTCACCCAGGCTGGAGTGCAGTGGCGCGATCTCGGCTCACTGCAACCTCTGCCTCCCGGGTTCAAGTGATTCTCCTGTCTCAGCCTCCTGAGTAGCTGGGATTACAGAGGTGTGCCACCACACCCAGCTGATTTTTCTATTTTTAATAGAGAGCGGGTTTTACCATGTTGGCCAGGCTGGTCTCAAACTCCCAATCTCAAGTGATCCGCCCACCTCGGCCTCCCAAAGTGCTGGGATTACCGGCGTGAGCCACCATGCCCGGCCTCCTCGTCCTTCTTGCTGCTAGTTCAGTCTGGTACTGGGTCTTAGAGACATGGACAAGACAGGGGAAACAGAGCTAGATGTCAATAGGCAGGTGACTGGATTGAGAGGGATGGGGGATACTGGAACACTCAGATGATGGGGAAGGAATGGAGGAACCACTGTGCCTTTCTCAGGTCAGCCTGTCTGGGCAGAATCCACACTAGAGATTCTTTTCTAGGGGGAAGAACAGCACCAGAGCTCAGACAGGCACAGTGGCTCACACCTGTAATCCCGGCACTTTGGGAGGTCGAGGAGGGCAGATTACGAGGTCAGGAGTTCGAGACCAGCCTGACCAACATGGTGAAACCCCGTCTCTACTAAAAATACAAAAAATTAGCCAGGCGTGGTGGTGCACGCCTGTAGTCCCAGCTACTCGGGAGGCTGAGGCAGGAGAATCGCTGGAACCCGGGAGGTGGAGGTTGTAGTGAGCAGAGATCATGCCACTGCACTCCACCCTGGGTGACAGAGCGAGACTTTGTCTCAAACAAACAAAAAAACAGCACCAGAGTTCAAGAGAGAAAATTACACAAAAGTCATATAGATGCTAGTGGTACAACAGACGGAGGCCTAAGAAATCACAGTGACCAAAGAATGTGGGTGTTTTCAGAGAGGGCAGTGCAGGATGCTGAGGGTGTTACAGAAAGATATTTGCACTGTGGAATTCAGGAAGGGTGAGGTGTCAAGAGTCCAGCCTGGGGAAGAACCAAAAGTCCTGAACTATTGAGGAACAAGTACATGCGGCGCAGCTCAGCAAAAGACAAGCCCAGGTTCAGGGACAGTGTGACCATGGGGTCCAGGCCATCAGGCTCCGTCCCAGCATGGAAATTGGGGAGGGGCAGGGAGAGGTTCAGGGCCTGGTAGAACCACTGAATCTGGGAGTCAGACAGAGGCAGGGCCAGGGGCCTGTCATGGGGCTCCGGCAGAGAGCTCTGGAGTTGGGGGCTTGACCAGGAGTTGCAATAATCGTACTGACAGCACTGGGCCTGATACCAGTACTCTGCAAAGTAGGTGTTGCGTTTTTCTTGGCAGCGGTAGGAAATGTACTGTCCACAGCCTCGAACGATGAAGCGAACCTTGACATCTGAGGGAGAGGGGAAAGCTGATAACCCCTTCCAATAGCTTCCCATAGTCCAAGAACCCCTGCTACTGACTTTTCCCATCCTTCACCCAGACCTAATTTACTTCTAACCCAGAGTCCTTCAAGAGGCTAGAAAAGTGAGCTCTGCTGGCCCCCTAGAACCTTAGACCCCTCCTTCCAAGATTCTTCTGGTTTTTTTTGAGACAGGGTCTAGCTCTGTTACCCAGGCTGGAGCATGGTGGCGCAATCTTGGCTCACTGCAACCTATGCCTCCTGAGTTTAAGAGATCTCCCACCTCAGCCTCCCGAGTAGCTGGGACTACAGGTGCATACCACCATGCCTGGCTATTTTTTTGTAGAGACAGGGTCTCACTATGTTGCCTAGGCTGGTCTTGAACTCTAGAGCTTAAGTGATCCACCTGCCTCAGCCTCCCAAAGTGCTAGGGTTACAGGCATGAGCCATTGCACTCAGCCCCTCCTCTCTTCTTGTACCCCATGCCCGGAGCAGCCCTGATCTGTGAGAGGAGAGAAGACCAAGCCATTGGCTGCCCCACCAGCAGCCCCTTCCTGGGACCTTATTTACCATAATAGATGGTGATCACCATGCACAGGGATGAGCTGCTGATGGTACACTTCTCTGAGCCTGAAATGCATCCTACAGAAGGGTCTTCTACGAGGCAGAAGTGGCACGTCCGGATGTCGGGAACAGGAACTGGGGAGGCAGAAGGAGGGATGGAGGCACTGGGTCACTCTCAAATACCCTGGGCCAGTAGGAAGCCCGATTATCCATGGCCACGCTCCACCCCCTTCCTGGACTCAGTTACCCCTTCCTCCCTCCCTGCCCCTGGGCCCCACTTACCCTTTCCTACTGTGAAGCCCACCATGACCAGCACACCTACAAGCATATGGACCTTCATTTTGGAATTCTGGGGAGATGGGCAGTTCCTGAGGGGATGCCCTGAAACCCCACCTTCCTGTGACCATGCTCCTTAATCCTAAGCTGCAGGGTGGTTTTGACAAGGTCTGAGCAGGAGCTGCTGTAAATGCAGAGCTATATTCCTACTTGGGGCAGGATCCTGGCTGGGAAGGAAGTTATTACTTGGCAGGAGGGACAGCATGTCCTCACCCACAACGTCTGGTTCCTGAGTGTGGGAGTAATGGCCCAGATGGGGTAATACCTGGGCACTACCGGGTTCTTTATCCAGTGTCTACCTTTGTCTTGCATACCCTCCAAAGACCTATTCCCTCCCTTGGAAAGTCCATGGGTTAGTATCTATCTCTGCCACCATGTGCTGTCTTCGTCATACAACAGGGCCAATCCCCACTGTGCTGGGACAACCTGGCCAGGAAATCAAGCATCCCCATCCTTCTGAGATGAGCAGTCTCAGCTCCACCAGCGGCAGGCACACACACATCACTGAGCAGCAATTCCGGACCTTGTCCCACCTCGTTCCACCCTTTAGTTATACTGACTTTAGGCTACTTTTCCTTTAGAACTAAAACTAAAAGATGGAGCTGCTGATTAAGCCCCTTACAGTATAAACAGACAGTCATAGATATCCAAACAAATATTTCTCATCTTTGAAATATGCTTTGTCTTTTCCTTTTGACCTTGCATTTCATCACACGCAGTCCTAGGAATTCTGTTCTGCTCCATACTAAAAACACCACCCAATCCACTGAGCACAAATCTGTCCTGGTTTTCAATCTGGGGAGGGTGGGCTGGGCCATGAGGGCCCCTGGAGTCCAACACACCATCACCTTCCCTTCCCCAACAGCAAGCACCAGCAGACTAGCTCATGGCCTTTTCTTCTACTTTATTTCATATTCCCACCACGATAACGACTCCTTTAATTTAAACTAAAAACCATACAGGGTTCCTGAAAGGGTGGCAAAAAAGAAAGGAAAAGTCAAAGACTGCAGGACAGGTGGGGGAGGGAATCAGCGAATCGTCTTGACTGGGCTCTTGAAGTTGCTGGCGGCTTGGAGCTGCAGCTGGTAGGCCATCGGATGGATCTTGAAACCGTAGAGCCTAGGCCAGGGCAGAGGTCAGAGAGGCAGCAGCATGAGCCCCATCCAGGCCCTGCCAGTCACCTGCATTCCCACCTCCCCACCTGAGCTCCTCTATGGACCTGCTCAGAGCTAAAGCCTCGTGGTTCCCAACTTCTCAGCTCAAGAACATTCTACAATAAGGTAACTCAAGCACAGATAATCAAATAACTTTCCCACAGTCACTCAGCAGGGAGATGCCCTGATTCTGGGAGAAGCAGACCTCAAGAAAGGGCCATGCCCTGTCCTCCCCTCTCTGGGGGATCTTGGGCCTTTCCTTTGACCCTTAATGACTCTCCCTGCTCCCTACCTGGGCACAAACTGGTTGGCAGGTCTCTTGGGCCGGTACTCGGGATGCACCATGAAGAGCATGTGAGGGAAACCAGTGCCGAAGTAGGCGCCATCCGTGTGATGGTGTCTTGATGACTTGGGTGTGTACACATCCATGCACTTGGGGCAGTAGAGCTTCACCATGGCTTCACCTGGGATGTCTGAAAGGCCTGGGAGACAGCCAGACTCAGCAGGCCAGGTATCCCCCTATTCCTACCTAACCTCCCCTCAGGACTCAGGCTCCAATGTGTTGAGCCCCAACTCCTTCCCATAAGACTGCCACACGGTGCTTTCCTTTCCCTTCTTCAACACTCACCAATGGGAAGCATTGGCTGGTTCTCACAGTACACACGAGGACAGTAACCAAAGTCTCCTTGCTGGTACTTTTCCAACTGAGGTGAATACAATGGAAGGGGTTGGCAGGTAGATGTAAAGAAGAGGCAACTCCCTTCGCAGCCCAACCCATACCACTCTGTCCCCCACTCCTCCCACCTCTGTCCAGAGGCCCCTTCTCTGGACTAGATGGGCTCTCAAACTTCTGTGTTGCCTTTCTTCCAATTAGGCAGGCTACAAACCATCAGAGCCATTTGTTGTTTGTTCCTTGAGGAAGAGGCAGTCTATCACAACTCTCTGATTCAAGGTCTGTCTCCCTCCCTGAAAACAATCCCTTCAGGATGACCCCCAATCAGAATTCAATTCCCAGGCCCAAGTTCTGGGGTTCTTCCCCTCTTCTCAGCTAGCTTCCTTAAACAGGGCTTAAACATGACTTCTTGCTGCAGGAACCTGTGTCTCTTACTGCTCAGAAGGAGGCAGGTAGGAGCAGAGAGGCCTCACCATCTGGGCGATGCCACGGTTGGTAAGGATGTAGCGGGCGTGGATCAATCCATAAAGCATCTCGGCTGCCTGCTCAATCAGGTCACTCTGGTTGGGGTTGTCTTCCAGTTCTTCATCTGAAACACAGCCCGGCCAAATGCAACTACTTGTTTTTCAGCTTTCCTAGGTGCCCTGCCCATATCCAGGGGCTGCGGGCTATTCAGTTTGCCTAGCACCTACTTTTGGGCCTTACCCCATCCAACATCTGGGCATGGGACCCAGAAACCTGGGCTTCTGACCCTTGCATCAAACGAAGACAGCTCTGCCTTCCCTTCACACCTTTTCAGCCTCTGCTCCTTGCTCTCCCTCCCAACTCCCTCCTCAATACATAACTGCAACAATGTCAATGCAGAAGATGAAACTCTAGACTGGAAGGTGCAAAGCAGGAGAAACAGACAACAAACCAGACCCATGAGGAAACGCATTTTGGAATAGGTCTGAATTGCGGATTTAGAAAACATGAGAACAAGTGATATACGTCACAAAACTAGACAAGAGTCAGGTGGAGGATCAAAATAAAGCATGAATTTGGGGTTAAAGAAATCAGAGAACCAAAGGAAATTTCAAAATTCAGGCAAGTGAATAGAGATTTGAAGAGAAAAATAGTGCACGCACACACACAAAACAACCCTGAGGGTGCCTCACCAGGCTCCAGGTCCAAGATCATGTCTAGAGCTTGTCGATAGTGAGGGACCTGCTCATTGAGTCCAGTAAGATTAAATTTGTCCTGGATGTAGTCTTCATCCACCTGTCAGGACATGGAAGCCAAGAGGGAACCCATATCAAAATCCTCATCTTTGACCTGGGCAAAATGCTCTAAGTGATGCCTTATCATCAACACAACTGCATCTGTTGTGCTTGTTTCTCACTCCCAACTCAGCAGAAGTACTTGTGTCTCTCCCTAGTTCACCTACACTCTCTCCCATAAAAGCTTTGGCTTTTCTTTTCTAAGGATAAGTAGATACAGCAATCTTTTTCTTAGACATTCTTTTCAAGATCTTTGTCCCTACTCCACTCCTGTATCCCGTCTCTAGGAACCAGTTTTGTCCTCTCAGCTGGCTAAGGAAGGTGGAAGCTGAACAGCATGGTTTCTGAACAAAACATTTCAATGTGTAGCATTTCAGTTTTCCTAAAGGCCACCTGAGACAAGTACTAGCAGTGCCACTTTAGTAACAAAAGATACAGGCCGGGCGCAATGGCTCACGCCTGTAATCCCAGCACTTTGGGAGGCCGAGGCAGGCAGATCACCTGAGGTCTGGAGTTCGAGACCAGCCTGGCCAACATAGTGAAACCCTGTCTCTACTAAAAATACAAAAATTAGCCAGGCATGGTGGCAGGCACTTGTAATCCCAGCTACTTGGGAGGCTGGAGCAGGAGAATCGCTTGAACCTGGGAGGCAGAGGTGGCAGTAAGCCGAGATCGCACCACTACCCTCCAGCCTCGGTGACAGAGTGAGACCCAGTCTCAAAAAAAAGAAAAAGACACAAATTGACTAGCCCAACGTTATATTGCTGGACGGTGGCAGACTCAGGACTTGGGCCCCAGTTTTGCCACTTTAGCACAGGTTCGTCGGGGTTTATAGGGGGGACTCTTTGCTGATAGGAAGTTTTCAAATAGCATGTAAGAGAACAGTGTAGAAGTGGAATATGTGAAGGAACGTCTGGTGGGAAGATATGTGAAGCTGGCAAGTAGGGAGGTTGAAGAGAACTCACTTCACAGAAGAATTCATTGCCACGGAGCCCACAGAACCAGGAAATCCAGGACACCTCCTCTGAGCTGCTCATCTTCACGTCAGCTAGAAAAAGAACAGTGTCAGTAAAGCTCAAGTTCTCCTTCCCTGCCTCTGGTATCCTCCCTCCTCCCACATTCGGCCCTCCAACCACGGGAGAATTCGGAACCACCCTTTCTTAAAGCAACCCAAACTCTGAAGCACTCCTCTCCAGCTCCTCTAATTTACATCTCAGCCCCTTTTCTTTGAAGTTAAACATTCTTTGGGGTCCCACCACTTGAAAGAAGCCAACAGATACTTTGACCCACCAGCCCGACCCACATCCCTGGAGCTCCCGAAGGCCAGGGCCCTCTCTCCTCTGTGTCAACTCCGGCAGGGACCTCGACTCAGGCTCCCTACCAATACAAGTCTCTGCATGACCCCCACGCCTTTCCCAAGGGTTTCCAAGTTTATCATTCTCAAGCAAGAACTGGGCTCCTCCTTTTCTCACGGGTTGGGGGCGATTGTCAGGTCCCTTTCACCGGAATCCACACATCCCCCCTCCGCTCCTCAGGCCACCTCTCCCTCCTTCGTGCCGGACCTGGTCGCTTCCTCCCCCGCCCCCACATCAAAGTCCGGAGACCCCATGTGCCGCTCCCAGCGACAAGGGACTCGGAGCAGCGACGACTTCAGACTCACCGGCTGGACGGGGACCAGGACTGGGGTGGGGTAGGGAAGTTGCTACTTCCAGGGAACGGCGGCGACCGCTACAGCGCAGGCCGCGGACCCGACCGCGGCAGGCGAAGTGGGGTGGGGGGAGTGGAAATTAGGGAGGGTGGGGAAGAGGGCAAACACGCAAGCGCCAAGGGTCAGGTGCCGCGGTGGATGCCGGGACACGGAGTCCCCGGTAGAGAAAGAAACTGGCTAAATGAGAGAAAGCGAACTACCAATCCCAGGATGACCCGCGCACGACCTGGCTGTCACGAAGGCCCGGAGGAGGGCGCTTGCGGGCGGGGCACAACGAGAAGCCACCGGAAGCGGAAGCCAGGTATGGCGTTCGGGGCCCGGGAGTCTGGGCAATACAGTTTTGTGCTCACTGGGTGAAGAGGCTGACTTAGGGCGGGGAAAGGAGGGAGCCAGGCTGGATCTCTTTCCGCAGCTCTCCTCACGTTCCCCTCTAGTCCCGGCGCGGCGCTGCTGCCCGGGGGACTGGCCTATCCTCGGCCAATCCGCTGGGTCCTTATTGCCTGTTGGGCCCCTAGTGCGAATCAGTCCCGCCAGAGACCCTTGACGGGCATACTGTTTCCTCCGGGCTCCTGCCTCATGAGGGGAGAGGTGCGGCTTGGCTCCGTGCGTAGGGACTTGGGTGGGGTGGGGTGGGCGGTGTGAGAACTGGAACGTCCCAGTGCGCTAACCTGAGGTGGTGCCAGCCATTCTGCTCGTCCCTTTGCACTTCTCCATTTCCCCTTAGGCTCTAAGTGTGACCTTCGAACCCTGGTCAGAGTAATGGTGAGGGGCAGGCGTGACGTTATTTCATTACACGGCTTCTCGGCATTCCACAGGTTTCCCTCCGCCTCCTGAGGGCCTTTCCTAACCCACAGAGTGGATTCCTGGCTCCAGAAAATGGGCTTGGAGCGGGGGCCACGTTGAGGAAGGCGAAGGGCATTGTGGGGGCGTTATGTAAAAGTAGGACCCCAACCGACAGATCCTAGTGCTCGCGCCACCTGGGCGCGCGGAGCTTTGCTCGTTTACTATTGAAAAAGTTCCAGCGCGGGAAACTGAACCCGGAGCTTTGCGCACGCCCGAGCCCTCAAGTAATGTGGGTTGTGGTTTTTGTTGTTGTTGTCGCCACGCATGCGTCTTCGTGCCGTGTGGCTATTTGATTGTGTCAACTCTTCTGATTAGAATGGCGCCATTTTGCGGTACGGAAGCTACACAGCAACACGTATAGGAGACTCTCCCCGAGATCTTCTAGGGAGTGACCCATCTATTTTTGTTTGGGAAGAGGAAACTCCGAAATGGGATCGCGGAAGACTTAAAGGGCCAGGCTGATTTTTTTTTCCTACTGGTATGTCTTACGGGGTGGGAAAGTGGTTTCAGAAAGAGGCTGGTGTTTATTGTTGGTGAGGATGGGGGTGGGGGCCGGACGCAGGACCTCTGGACAACAGTCTCATGGAGTTTTATTAATCTTTACTAAGGAGCAAAGTCGGTATTGTAGGGTTCCATGTTTTTACGCAAAGTCTCTCTCCCTTAGGCCCTGCAGAGTCCTAAGTTGTGGGGTTACTTTAGTGGCAGGAAAGTGTTTTTGACTACTTTTTCTCATCCCAGCAGGTCTCTGAGGCTGTGGTTGCTACAGGGTCACCACGAGCTTGGCTTACTTGTCTCATCCTTCCCTTGCCTGGTATCATTTTCTCAGTTCTCCCAAAAGCCATGTCCCGGCCCTTGCTCATCACCTTCACCCCAGCCACTGACCCCAGCGACCTCTGGAAGGATGGGCAGCAGCAGCCACAGCCCGAGAAGCCAGAGTCCACCCTGGATGGGGCTGCAGCCCGAGCTTTCTATGAGGCCCTGATTGGGGATGAGAGCAGCGCTCCTGACTCCCAGAGATCTCAGACTGAACCTGCCAGAGAAAGAAAGAGAAAGAAAAGAAGAATAATGAAGGCACCAGCAGCAGAAGCAGTGGCAGAAGGAGCATCAGGAAGACATGGACAAGGGAGATCCCTTGAGGCTGAGGATAAGATGACTCACCGGATACTGAGGGCAGCCCAGGAGGGGGACCTGCCAGAACTTAGGAGACTGCTGGAACCGCATGAGGCAGGAGGAGCTGGGGGGAATATCAACGCCCGGGATGCCTTCTGGTGGACCCCACTGATGTGTGCTGCTCGAGCGGGCCAGGGGGCAGCTGTGAGCTATCTCCTGGGCCGTGGGGCTGCCTGGGTGGGGGTCTGTGAGCTGAGTGGCAGGGATGCGGCTCAGCTCGCTGAAGAAGCTGGCTTCCCTGAGGTAGCCCGCATGGTCAGGGAGAGCCATGGAGAGACAAGGAGCCCGGAAAACCGGTAAGGGGAAACTTTAGCTCAGACCCATGTCTCATTGTGTTCTGCCTCTCCCAGCCACACCACACCAGACGCCCCAGCACAGTGCTGAAGAGTTCTTTCCTTATCCTCATGTGTAGGTTGACAGGGTAGTATAGTCAAGTGGTTATAAACATGAGCTCCCTGGATTTAAAGCCTGATTCCACTTACTTGGGCAAACAACCTAATGTCTACATGTTCCAGTTTTCTCATCTTAGAAATGGGGGTAGTAAGAATTGTTGTTAGGATTCAATGGGTTAATATATGTAAAATGCTAGAATAGTGCATGCCGCATAGTATGCAATACATGAATGTTAGCTATAGTCATTATGACTAATGTCCCTCCCCTTGCCCAAGAGTTTGCTAGGTCTGGTTACCATTTTTTTCTTTCAACTATTCTGCTCTGGATCCCACAATGGTTTAAAGAAATTTGTTTTTAAGACAAGTCAAGTGCAGTAGTGAGAAGGAGGGGAAAAGTGGAGTAAGGAGTTTGATCTGTAACTGAGTGAACAATTAATTCAGATAACTCACCACCACCTTTGGACCAGCCTGGATCCCTCACTGTTAAGTAGGAAGGAAGGCAATTTGTCCCTTTTTTTTTTTTTTTTTTTTTTGAGACAAAGTCTCACTCATCTCACTCTGTCGCCCAGGCTGGTGTGCAATGGTGTGATTTCAGCTCACTGCAACCTCCGCTTCCTGGGCTCAAGCATATTTTTTGTAGAAAGCAGGCTTTGCCGGGACATGGTGGCATGTGCCTGTAATCCCGGCTACTTGGGAGGCTGAGGCAGGAGAATCGCTAAGGTGGAAGTTGCAGTGAGCCAGGATCATGGCACTGCACTCCAACCTGGGCAGCAGAGCAAGACTCCATCTCAAAAAAAAAAAAAAAAAAAGCAGGCGTTGCCATTTTGCCCAGGCTGGTCTCAAACTCCTGAGCTCAAAGCCATCTGCCCGCCTCTGCCTCCCAAAGTGTTGGGATTACAGGCGTGAGCCACTATGCCTAGCTGGCAATTTGTTCCTTAGCAGAAAAGCTGAAAAGATCCTATTCTACCCTGCCAGCCCCCTCTGAGGCCTCAACTCTTCCCCTTTTCCTTCCCCTGCCCTTAATGCTTTTTCTTCTTTCTCTGCAGGTCTCCTACTCCCTCCCTCCAGTACTGCGAGAACTGTGACACCCACTTCCAAGATTCCAACCACCGCACATCCACTGCTCACCTGCTGTCACTGTCGCAGGGTCCTCAGCCTCCCAACCTTCCACTTGGGGTGCCCATCTCCAGCCCGGGCTTCAAACTGCTGCTGAGGCGGGGCTGGGAGCCAGGAATGGGGCTGGGACCCCGGGGTGAGGGCCGTGCCAATCCCATCCCCACTGTCCTCAAGAGGGACCAGGAAGGACTAGGCTACAGATCAGCACCCCAGCCCCGAGTGACACATTTCCCAGCTTGGGATACCCGAGCTGTGGCTGGGAGGGAGAGACCCCCTCGGGTGGCCACACTGAGCTGGAGGGAGGAGAGAAGGAGGGAGGAGAAAGACAGGGCTTGGGAGCGGGATCTAAGGACTTACATGAACCTCGAGTTCTGACTTTGGTAAAGTCTGACCCTAGTCTGCTGCTGAAGTCTGAACTTGGGCCTCTGACCTGGGCCCTTTGACTTCCCCTTCCTGGGATCTGCTCAGATGCAGATCCTGAAGTTTTTGGTCAATAGGCTCTGTCTTCGTGAGAGACGGGCTGAGAGTCAGAAATAAATCAACCATTTGTGGTTTATTCACTTTTCTGGAAGCTATTTTGAGGAAGCCAAACAGAAGCCTGGGAGCCACATGCAAGTCCCACCTGAGTCAGAAGGGGCAGCCTCTCCAGGTGGCATGATAAGGTCACCTCCCTGCCAATCTGGGTTCACTTTCAGGTCCCAGACCCTCCTGGGAGTCCCCCACCTATTCTTTCAACCCCCCTGGACCAAGAATTGCCCAGCTTCGTGCAAGTCTCACTTCCCCCAGGAGGAGTTCCCTGACTACAGCCAATTCACTGATTTCACAAACATAAGTCCATATACTATGTGCCAAGAATACAGGTAAAGACATTCCCAACCCTCAAAGAGTTCACAGCTGGAGAGGGAAAGTGCCATGTTATCAATTTTTTTCTTTTTTTTTTGAGATGCAGTTTCGCTCTCATTGCCCAGGCTGGAGTGCAATGGCATGATCTCGGCTCACCACAACCTCTGCCCCCCGAGTTCAAGGGATTCTCCTGCCTCAGCCTCCCCAGTAGCTGGGATTACAGGCATGCCCCACCACGCCCAGCTAATTTTGTATTTTTAGTAGAGACGGGGTTTCTCCATGTTGGCCAAGCTGGTCTTGAACTCCCGACCTCAGGTGATCCGCCGGCCTCGGCTTCCCAAAGTGCTGGGGTTGCAGGCATGAGCCACCACTCCCGGCCCATGTTATCAAATATTATAATGCAGGGTGATAAGGGAAGTCAAGGCCTCTAGAGATGAGAATGGGTAGGGTTTTGCTGGAAGAGGCCAGTGTGATAGGAAGGCCCACGATTATCAAGCTTGTACACTTAGTTGAACTGGGACCAGAACTCTAGCCCCCAAATCTAAACTTTAAACTTCTTTGTTCCACCCATTTGTCTACACTTTTCTTTCCCACACTTCCCCACTCTCCCACCACCCACCCCCTTGTCTTGCTCATGCCGGGTGGTAGGCACAAGAAGAGCTCACTGTTGTGAAATCCAGGAATTCAAATTTGCAGACGGGCAGGGGAGGGCTGTTCAAGTCGCAAGACTCCTCATTTTTTCTTTTCTGGGAAAGCCTTTCATGAAGTCTTGGATGCGAAATGGAGGAGTGGTGGGGGATGTGGAAAAGAACCCAGGGGCAGGGGGCTGTAGGGGGCGACCAAGTTTAGGGAAGCATGAGAAACCCGGGAAAATGGGGAGCTGGGTTTATATTAAGGTCCTGGTCCTTGCTAATCTCGGTTTGGCGGTCCGGCGCGCACAGACAGCGCGGGGTATACGGGGGCGGTCTATTCGCAGGGTCCGCCCCATGAGCTGCGGCACCGCCCCCGCGGGTCCTTCCAGTCCTGGTGCAGCTGCTTCCGGGCTTCGCGGCTCCCGGCGGCTCCCCAAGGCCGCGGCCCCGACGCTGGGCCCGGGAGCGGTCCCCGCGCACAGCGCCCGGACGCGTAGGTCCCGAAGTAGGCCCGCGCTTTGCTTCGTAACTGGGGATCTCTGAGGACATCTTAGTTCTGACCTTGTGGAGGCCGCGTCTCTGCTGCGTGTTCGCGGGCCAGTCGGGCCACTTTGTAGAAATCATAGCCCTCTAAATCAAGGGACGAACGCTGCTGGCTGGAGTTTGCTGGACACTTTCATTCCACCTCCTAACAAAGAGAATTCCTATTCCTTGAGGTCCCTTGGGACAGCAGTTAAAGACTACACGATCCAGGAGCACCTAGGACCTGGGGCCACCTTCCTGCCCGCTTTATTGGATGGAGCACTGCCTCCCCAGTTTCTGGGACACCTTGGGGTGTGGCCTTGGTGAGTGAAACTTGGGGTGCTGCCTGCTGGGAAGGAAATCCGGAAACGCAGAGAGGACTCTCTGGTGGTGACCCAGGCCTTGTCAGATCTGAGATTCTTGGAATCTCAGATTGTGGGGGTGTGGATGGTGAATGAATTTGGGTATGCCCCCCTTTACCCCAGAACTGAAGAGGAAGCAAACTACTTGCCACACTTGAGGCTGCATGACTATTCAGAGAAGGGAGGAGCCACTTCTGAATTCAGAGTAGGACTGCATCACCAGGCAAATACCTGTTCTGAGCCAGAAAGACTCTGGCTTCTGAGGAGATCCTGAGAGTCTGAGTAGTGCCAGGAAGCAGCCTCAGAATTTGGGGGCCCATTACACACCCCAGCCATGTTCCTGCGACGGCTTGGTGGCTGGCTACCTCGCCCTTGGGGCCGCCGGAAACCAATGAGGCCTGACCCGCCTTACCCAGAACCCAGACGGGTGGACAGCTCCTCGGAGAATTCAGGAAGTGACTGGGATAGTGCCCCAGAAACCATGGAAGATGTGGGGCATCCCAAGACTAAGGACTCGGGGGCATTGAGGGTTTCTAGGGCTGCTTCCGAACCAAGCAAGGAGGAGCCCCAAGTTGAGCAGCTAGGGAGCAAAAGAATGGATTCCCTCAAGTGGGACCAGCCTATCTCTAGCACTCAAGAGTCTGGGAGACTGGAGGCTGGAGGGGCCAGTCCCAAACTCAGATGGGATCATGTGGATTCAGGTGGCACCAGGAGACCAGGGGTGTCCCCTGAAGGGGGACTGAGCGTCCCTGGGCCAGGAGCCCCATTGGAGAAACCTGGTAGGCGTGAGAAGCTGTTGGGCTGGCTGCGGGGGGAACCAGGAGCTCCCTCCCGGTACTTGGGGGGCCCAGAAGAGTGTCTGCAGATCTCCACCAACCTGACCCTGCATCTTCTGGAGCTGCTGGCCTCTGCCCTGCTGGCCCTGTGCTCACGACCACTGCGGGCAGCCTTGGACACACTGGGCCTGCGTGGACCGCTGGGCCTCTGGCTACATGGCCTACTGTCCTTCCTGGCTGCCCTGCATGGGCTCCATGCTGTTCTGAGCCTACTTACTGCCCACCCTTTGCACTTCGCCTGCCTCTTTGGTCTCCTGCAGGCCTTGGTGCTGGCTGTCAGCCTCCGGGAGCCCAATGGGGATGAGGCGGCCACTGACTGGGAGAGTGAGGGGTTGGAGAGGGAAGGTGAGGAGCAGAGGGGAGACCCGGGAAAGGGGCTGTGACCGTGGGGTGGGGGCAAAGGGTGAAGAGAGTGTGGGCTTTAGGAGAAAAGTGTGAGGCATGACCCAAATTGTAAGCATAGGGACCTCAGGGATGGGGAAGAAACCCGAGTACGAGGGTGCAGGGCCCCCCTTCATACACAGGAGAGAACAGAACTATTTAGGGTGTTTGTGTTTATGGACAGTGAGGGCACTGCTCTTGGATTCACCAGCTGTTATTTTTGCTTTTACTTTTCTCCCACCTTCAGTTTTTTTTTTTTTTCCACCTCCACTTTTTAAAAGCAAAAAAAAAAAAAAGTATGATGGTGGTGAATAAAGACCAAAGGGTCCTCTCTACCTTTGAAAACTCTCCTGGGGTGGAGGAGACCAGGGCAGGATAGACAGACCTCTGCAGTAAGAGAGTGGTTGGGAAACCCAGGGTGTTCCTTGGATCTCAGGATCTGAGCCATCGAGGGAAGAGTGGGGCTGCTAGGCAAGTGGATTAGGGGGTCTGGATAGGGCCCCACAGGTGACAGGGAGCCTGCAGGGCGGATCTGGTGATCATGGGAGCCAGAGGGAGTGGGGACAGTGCAGGCAGTATTGGCAGGAGGGCCAGTGCAGAAGGGCTGGTAGCTCAGGCAGTGTGGGGGAAGCACTGAAGCCTGTAGTCCCCACTTGGGGGCTAGGGGTTTGCTCACTCAGCAATAAATAACTGTGTCACATCAAATCCTAAATATACCACTACAAAGTGAGAGTTACTGCCACTCTGTTCTTACTGACACCGTCCAGCTGGGAGTTTAGGTGGTAGAGGATCCAGGGGGAATGTTGAAATGGGAGGAGTGGGAATGACGTCTGGAGACAAACCCCAGAATGAGATGAGGATTGAAAAATTATCTTTATTATCTTGAGTGGGAGCTGGAGCTGGAAGTCTCCAGCTTCTCCCTCCAACAACTCAGCTCCCATTGTACCCATCTGGGGACTTAGATGAAGTTACAGGTCAGTTATTGGACAGCTCACAGGCCTCTGTGATGGGGGGAGGGAAAAAGAAGGACAGAAGGGAAGTCCAGGGAGAAAAGCAAAGTTGATAGTAATGGGGTGGGGGAGAACGTGTTCTTTCATTCCCTGTGTCAAAGGGGAGTCTCTAAGGCTCTTTTCCCTCCACGTATGACCCTCTGCCCCCTTTATCCAGTGCAAACTCAGAAACCTCTCTTTTGAGTAGCCCAGAACCCATCCTGCCTCCCTCAGGTGACATCACAGCTCTTAGCCACATCCCTCTGGTGACATCACACGAGCCTCTTTCACCCTGTAACACCAGAAGACTTGGTGAGTCCTAATCCTGTTTTATGAGATTTTAACCCCTTACCTTGATTCCTAGGAGTCAATAAGAAGGCTTTGGAGTCCAGGCAGGAAGTCAGGGACTTGAATTCCTCCACACACTTTTCGGGAGGATGTGGTGAGCGATCTGGAAGGGCAAGGTGGGGTCAGGCCAGTCAAAACCCCTGGAAGCACCTAGCTCTTCCTGGGAGGGTGTCATAGGACCCAGAGTGAGGAGTTCTCCTGCCCTCCCTTGTTTCCCTCCAACCCTTCCTGCCTTGTATCCCTACTCACTGTAGAGGAGAAAGCGCTGGTAACCCTGGCCTGTCTCATTCAGCATGATTCCACCTGGGCATGAGCTGGAAAAGAGCTCAGTCTTCATGTCAGGGCGGCCTGTCAAGGCAGGTGGGAGAAGTATGAGAACAGAGATGCAGAACCAAACTCAAGGGAGGGTGAGGGCTGGGAAGAACCAACCTTCAGTTCTGAGATCTGTGCTCCCTTCAGTCAGGTGGTAGATCCATTTCCGGGGCACACAGAGCCCATCTTTCCTGCAGAGGTGGTGGTGGCAAGGAGGAAAGAATGAGCATCACCCCAACCATAGTGTCCCAGCTTCTTTTTTTTTTTTTTGAGACAGAGTCTCACTCTGTTGCCCAGGCTGGAGTGCAGTGGCGCCATCTCGGCTCACTGCAAGCTCTGCCTCCCGGGTTCACGCCATTCTCCTGCCTCAACCTCGTGAGTAGCTGGGACTACAGGTGCCCACCACCATGCCCAGCTAGTTTTTTATATTTTTAGTAGAGACGGGGTTTCACTGTGTTAGCCAGGATGGTCTCGATCTCCTGACCTCGTGATCTGTCCGCCTCAGCCTCCCAAAGTGCTGGGATTACAGGCGTGAGCCACCACGTCTGGCCTGTCCCGGCTTCTATTTACTCCATTGTATTTGTTATTGAAGCCCAGCTCTCCTTGGGTTTCAAGCTACCAAGCATTGGTTAGGCACATCTTTCTCCAGAGGGCAATTAATACAGCCACTGAATTCCGTGGGCCAAGCATAGTAGATATACCAGCTAAGAGGCCAGCTCTTGGTGGGTGGATTCTCACACTTTGGGCAGAGACTGAACCCAGTGATGCTTCTGCCTCCTTACCACTCACATGCGGATGGTAGCACGAAGGTGGAGCTGCATCGGGGCAGAGCCAGCAGCCATATTGAAGACAATGTTGTCCACAGGGTCAAAAGTTGCCAACTCCTCCTTGGTGGGAGCTGCCCCTGCGATAAAGTACCACTGGCCCAAGTGGACCTCTGGGAACTGGAGAGACAATGAAGGGAGCAAAAGAGGGTGGGTTCCAGCACAGGATGGGTTCAACCTCTTCATCAGTCAAAACAGCAAGATTTAGGGGTAGAGGTGTTGGCTGCCTTCCTCTTTCCAACTGGGGATTGGATCCATGACAAAGAGTCATTAAATGACTTTTCCTCTTTGCCCCTCCCCAGTCAACCTGGGTAACCACCCCACCCCCCAATTCTGCCATGCCTCTGCATTGATGGCCACAGTACTGATATTTTTCTTCTTGCTTTCATTATCACAACACTCACACCCCCTTCCTCTCTTCCTTTCCCAAGATGGTCTCCAGTCATCCTAGGCCATCCACCCAAGTCCCTCAGAGCCTCCACCATAGGCTTCCCCCAATCTCAGTCCATACCTCCTTCCCATCCACGCCCAGAGTTGTCAGTTGACTGTGCTCAGGGCACTGGTAGATGGAGTTAAGGATAATACCATAGAAGTAGAGCAGAGCTGCCCAAATTTGGTGGAACATCTTCAGGCAGGAGGGAGCTGGTGCTCTGTGTGCCTTAACTGCTCTCTCCCCTACTGGCTGCTCAGTCCACTCTGCTTTCAGCTCCCTTGCGTTCGACCCTTGACCCTTTCACCTGCTAATGAGTAACTTCAACCTTGTTTTCCAACCCAAACCTGGATTACTTAGTGTTTGGGACTTCCTCCCCCTCTTCCGGATGCAACCACTCCATAGTACACCCTGGCATGTCCAGGGTTTCTCAGGAGTTATGAGGAGAGCTGAGCTGTCCAGGGAGAAGCCTGTGGTCTTTGAACCTGTATCTGAGCTGGTTATTTGTTGCACTGTGCAGCACTGAAGGGAAGTAGCTTGACTGGGCCTCTCATTCATTCACTTAGCAAACTGTTTTGAATCCCAAGTCCCAGTTGTTTCCCAAGAACTAGCTAATCCCCGGGGACATAAAAAAACGAATAAGACATAGCCCCTGATCTTGAAGAAGTCGTTAGAGGGAAAACTAGCTGTGTAGACAAACCATTGCAATACAACTTGGTAAATGCTTTAGAACAGGTATGATGCAGGTGCTGGGGCACGGTGGATTGCTCTCTTTAGTTTACAATTAGAAAAATATGTATACCCTGGCAGTGTTCACTGACACATTCACTCAACATTTATTACTACAAAGAGGCTATGTAATCTGGCTGTTAGAGAGGATAGATGTTGGTGTCAGGCAGAATGTGTCCAAACCCTAACTACAGGCAGGGCAGGTAGCTCATGCCTGTAATCTCAGCACTTTGAGAGGCCAAGGTGGGCGGATGGCTTGAGCCCAGGAGTTCAAAACCAGCCTGGGCTACATGGCAAAACTCTGTCTCTACAAAAAATACAAAAATTAGCCGATGTGGTGGCACACGCCTGTAGTCCCAGCTACTAGGGAGGCTGAGGAGGGAGGATTGCTTGGGCCTGGGATGTCGAGGCTGCAATGAGCCCTGATTGTGCCACTGCACTCCAGCTTGGGCGACAGAGACTCTGTCTCCAAACAAACAAAACACCACCAACCCCTAACTGCTATGTCTGTTTTTTCATCTGTAAAATTGGCAAATCATCAATCTTATAGGATTAAATGAAATAATGCACATAAAGCCCTTAGCAAAGACTTGCACATGGTAAGTCCAAAGTATATATTTGCTATAATTAATAGTAATGTTTGCAAAGCACTTAGTTTCTGGTGGGTAATAAGTTCTCAAATAATAGGCAGTAAGAATTGCCAAATAGGTTGTCCTTGGATAGCACCAAGTGACTGGAGCAGTTAATGCTGTGAGAGATGGATCTTCCTCGATAGATTATTTATTTACTTATTTATTTTTAAGACAGGGTCTCACTCTGTCGCCCAGGCATGACTTTGACTTCCCCGGCTCAGATGATTCCCGAGTAGGAGGTATAGGTGCACGCCATCACGCCTAGCTAATTTTTTGTAGACACGGAGTTTCACCATGTTGCCCCAGGCTGGTATTAAACTCCTGAGCTCAAGCAGTCGGCCCACCTTAGCCTCCTAAAGTGTTGGGATTACAGGCATGAGCCACCACACCTAGCTTGATAAATTTATATCCCATGGACTGCCACAAAAAATTTGCCGAGGGCTGAGGCTTGCGATTTAGTTAAAAAACAAACAAAATTTGGGTGACCAGTATATTAGAGTTTATTAATACTGTTCTATTTTGGTGTAATGTTTGAATTTTTTTTTTTTTTTTTTTGAGATGGGAGTCTCGTTCTGTTGCCCAAGCTGGAGTGCAGTGGCGCGATCTTGGCTCACTGCAATCTCCACCTCCCGGGTTCAAAGCAATTCTCTGCCTCAGCCTCCCAAGTAGCTGGGATTACAGGCGCCCGCCACCACGCCAGGCTAATTTTTGTATTTTTAGTAGAGATGGGGTTTCACCATTTTGGCCAGGCTGGTCTTGAACTCCTGACCTCGTGATCCACCCGCCTCATCCTCCCAAGTGTGAGTCACTGCGCCCGGCCGAAAATTTTTGTAATAAAAAGCTAAAATGTGGTTAGGCACAGTAGCTCACACCTATAATCCCAGCACTTTGGGAGGCCAAGTCTGCAAGACCAGGCTGGGCAACATAGCAAGACCCCATCTCTATAAAAATAAAATTAGCCAGGTGTGGTGGTGTGCATCTGTGGTCCCTACTAGGGAGGCTGAGGTGGGAAGATCGGTTGGGCTCGGGAGGCAGAGGCTACAGTGAGTTGTGATTGCGCCACTGCACTCCAGCCTGGGCGACAAAGCGAGACCCTCTCTCAAAAAAATAAGCTAAAATGTTAACAGCTTTTTATTGGGGCAGTAAAGTACAAGTGCTCGATCTGGAGTCCTGTAGGCCTGGATTTGTCAATTCTGACACTTATGTTCGTCTAAGTGTACTCACTTAAAAAATGTTAAAAGCTCGTTAAAAGGCTTTTTAAAATAATACACAAAACCCGTAGTATATGGGCTGGCACAAGTGCTCATTAAACAGCTGCTTATTAGAACTCTTAACTAAAATATAACCAGGACCTGGGTATAAACTACGAATCCCAGAAAGGTTGGACACCCCAACAGCGATGTGTCTTTCTGGAGGACTCGCAGTTTCGCGGGGCCGAGGCCCTTGGCCCAGGGCAGGTTAAGAGAAGAGGGCACGGAGAGGCGGTAATGCCTCCACCCCCGGCCTTCGGAAGCACGCTGGCCGGCCTTTAAATTCCCCACGGTCAGGGTCTTGTCTTTCTGTCCACTCGGACTCCATTTGCTCCCAATTCTCAAACTCGGAAGCGCCTCTTTTCTTGACAAGTCGTGCAACTTAGTAGCACGTTTACTTTTCCTAAAACGTGTCATGTCCCCTTGGCCACACACCGACGAATGTGACGCCCACAGCCCTTAAAACGCCCACCCGGCAGAACCGAAATCTAGCCCAACCAAGCAACCGAGAACAAAATTGACCAGTGCCGCCCCCAAACGCCTACTGAAAGAGTAACTTCCGGAGGCACAGAAGAAAGGGCGCAGCGAGGGCAATAGGGTGGAGAAGAGTTTTAGCTGGCTAGGACAGTGCCGCCTGAAATTATCAGCCTGCCAAGATTTAAACATAGATGAATGTGGCATAATCCCCCATCTCCAAAGTCCAAGGTCCATACGACCGTCCATAGCCCCTCTCGAGGCAGTGGTAGAGTCCCAGCTGGTGACTGTTTTTCAGGCATTTACGGTAGCCACCTCAATCTTCTAGCGCTCAAGCGCGCGCACAGACGTGAACGCCGCCAGAGGGGGGAGGGGGTGGGGCGATGCTTAAGTGTCCACGCATCCGTAGTGCGACGCACGCAGGCGTAGTACGGTCCCCCGGGCGACAGCGGTGGCGGCTCCTCGGGGTGCTCGGCTCCCTCCCACCTAGGCCGGCCCCGGCCCGACTCGCCCTCAGAAACTCACTGTTTGGGGCTGCGGACTTTCTCGTCGTGCCCCACAAAAGTAAAGCTTGGGGACCTGGGGGGAGCCGGAAGTATCGCTTCGAGATCCCCAAATACTATCGGGGAAACGGAAGTGGCCGTCGGTGGCAGGTTTGGGGGAGACCGGAAGTGACGGTCCGTGGGGAAGTCGGGGGCGGAGCCGCGGGGTGGTGGGTGTGTGTGTGTGTGTGTGTGTGTGTGTGTGTGTGTGTGTGTGTTTGGCTGTGGGTTAGTTGTGCCGTTCTGCTGGAACACCGTGGGAAGGCAGTAGACGCGGGCAGTCAGCTAGCAGGTCTGTCGCCCCGTGAGTGCCGTTTCGGGTCTATAGTGAGTTAGGAGGGTTCGATGGGCGTGGCGCGCGTGCGCGAAACCACTTTCTCCGCAGAGTGTGGGGCGACCACCGCTTTCGCGTTGTCCCAGGATTTTCCGACCTCTGGGGCGCTTGTCCTGCCGTGACCGGTGATGACACTAGTCTCTGGTCTCGTGCTTCCTTCCTAATCTGACTGGCTCCCTGCTTATTGTGATTGGCGTCGTGGAGCCCCTCCCACCTCTCGTCCTCCAGCTCCCTAAGCCGTCGATCTCCTGCCCTTTGTGTTTCTCTCCCTGTGCCCCGGAATCAGAAGGGGGATGGGGACAGGTGTGAATGTGTGTGTGTGCAGGAGAAACTTTTTAGGTATTGGGGCAGGGATTAATGCTAGGGAGTCTTTCGGGTACACTCTGGTCTGGGCAACAGCGGGCCTTCCTTCCTTCGTTCTTCTTTAGAGACCTGTCGGCCATGGAGCCTAATGATAGTACCAGTACCGCTGTGGAGGAGCCTGACAGCTTGGAGGTGTTGGTGAAGACCTTGGACTCTCAAACTCGTACCTTTATTGTGGGGGCCCAGGTGAGACACCTCACTAGTTCTGGAAGACACCTTTAGCTTTTCCTCGTTTAGGCCCCTTAGCCTGAGAGATGAGCTTGATTTTCTGGTCACCAGATTTTCTTTTTTTTTCTTTTTTTTGAGATGGAGTCACGCCCTGTCTTCCAGGCTGGAGTGCAGTGGCGCGATCTCGACTCACTGAAACTTCCACCTCTTGGGTTCAAGCGATTTTCCTATCTCAGCCTCCTGAGTAGCTGGGATTATAGGCGTGTGCCACTATACCCAGCTGATTTTTGTATTTTTAGTAGAGACGGGGTTTCACCATGTTGGTCAGGCTGGTCTCGAACTCCTTACCTCAGGTGATGTGCCCTCCTCGGCCTCCCAAAGTGCTGGTATTACAGGCATGAGCCACCGCACCTGGCCTCAGATTTTCTTTTTATTGATCCCTTTGTTCGTATTCCAGTAGAACGTTTTCTGATGTTTTGTGAGTGAGGCTGATTTTGTTCTGTCCTCCACATGGATAGAACTTAATGCAGAGGGAAATACAGAGGAAGGAAGAATCTGTGTGTCATCATCATGGGTGGACCCCAACCCAAAGGGACAGGCATGGCTCTGGCCTTTGGGAAGGGAAACAGCACAGGAACCCTAAGCAAGTGTGTCTTACTGATAGACATTGGTCAGGTCTATGCTGTGTTTTTAAAGGGTAGAAATCAGAACCCATAATGGAGATAGGGCCTTGATAGACTGTTGAGTGAAATTACTAATTTTTATGGCATAGCTTGAGTCTCTTGAGCTTAAAGCCTTGGACATAGCTATCTGTGTCTTTACTCCTGTAATACTTGGAGACAAATTGCATGTGGGGTGGTCCATGGTTTTCTAAAATGTGATATTACCTGGATATAAGAAAGCCATATATAGACTTGTGATTAGATGTATATAAATACTCTGGTACTTCCCAAGAGTCAGTTTGTAGTTAGGAAAAATATTTCTCTTTTTGCTTTTTTTTTTTTTTTTGAGATGGAGTTTTGCTCTTGTTGCCCAGGATGGAGGGCTGGGGCGCAATCTCAGCTCACTGCAACCTCTGCCTCCTGGGTTCAAGCAATTTTCCTGCCTCAGCCTCCTGAGTATCTGGGATTACAGACGACGCCTACTACCACGCCCGGCTAATTTTTGTATTTTTAGTAGAGACAGGGTTTTACCGTGTTGGCCAGGCTGGTCTTGAACTCCTGACCTCAGGTGATCCACCTGCCTCGGCCTCCCAAAGTGCTGGGATTACAGGTGTGAGCCACTGTGCTGGGACCTTTTTTGCTTTCTTATCTTCTTAGTCTTTCTTCATTAACCTGATACCAGACCCCATCTTCTTTGCCATTTTTTAATCTTGGAAATCACAGGAGAGTCTGGTAAATAAACTGGTATCATCTTGTGTTTGGAAAGGGGTCACTGATGTCTCTAGACACATACTCCCTTGGATGCCAGACAGATAATATAATGTCCATGTGTTTTTTTTTTGTTTTTCATCCGTGTTATTTTTCCTGGATCTATAACCTGAGCTTCATTAAGTTTATTTATTTAATTTTTTGAGATGGAGTCCCTCTCTGTCACCCAGGCTAGAGTGTAGTGATGCGATCTCGGCTCACTGCAACCTCCGCCTCCCGAATTCAAGTGATTCTCTTGCTTCAGCCTCCCTAGTAGCTGGGATTACAGGCGACCACCATGCCTGGCTTATTTTTTTGTATTTTTGGTAAAAAAGGGGTTTTACCATGTTGGCCAGGCTGGTCTCGAACTCCTGACCTAATGTGATCTGCCTGCCTTGGCCTCCCAAAGTGCTGGGATTACAGGTGTGAGCCACCGCGCCAAGCCAAATTTATTGTCTGTATTTTGACAGCTGTTACTTTAGTTTAAGGGTTTGCACAGTAATGATCTCACGGTCAAGACAAACGGGTAGTGATTCTGTGGTGGTTTTTACCCCTCACCTCCACAACTCGGTTGTCTGTCTTTGTTCTTCCTCTTTCCTCCATTCTTTCCATTCCTGTGCATGCCTCTTCTTTTCAGATGAATGTAAAAGAGTTTAAGGAGCACATTGCTGCCTCTGTCAGCATCCCATCTGAAAAACAACGGCTCATTTACCAGGGACGAGTTCTGCAAGATGATAAGAAGCTTCAGGAATACAGTAAGGGGGCTGGGGAGGCAGTTCAGAGGTTGGGGCTACTGTCTGGAGGGATGAACTGAGGCCATGGGTTTACCTGTTCATACTATGTTTTGGTGTGTGTCTATTTTTCTGCAGATGTTGGGGGAAAGGTTATCCACCTGGTGGAACGGGCTCCTCCTCAGACTCACCTCCCTTCTGGGGCATCTTCTGGGACGGGGTCTGCCTCAGCCACTCATGGTGGGGGATCCCCCCCTGGTACTCGGGGGCCTGGGGCCTCTGTTCATGACCGGAATGCCAACAGCTATGTCATGGTTGGAACCTTCAATCTTCCTGTAAGCTTATGTTCCACAGGGGAGGGCTTTTGTGGGTAGCTTTGGTTGTGGTAGCACCAGGGAATTAATAAGATAGATGCTTCCATCTTTAGATTGGGTTCAGGGGGCCCTGTGGTGTGCTATTGGTCTCAGTCTTTAAGGAGAAAAGGAGGTAGGGCTCCAGGGAATGAATTGGAGGTGTGGAGGCCTTAGTGTTGGCTTCTCCCAGAACAACTTCCCTTACCCTTTCCCCAGAGTGACGGCTCTGCTGTGGATGTTCACATCAACATGGAACAGGCCCCGATTCAGGTATTGAGGGGCCTCCGAGGGTCAGGGAAGGGGATCTGGGAGAAGGAGGCTGGGAGGTGGGGTGGACCTGGCTGAGAGATGGCTGGGACCTGATTTAGTAGGTGGTAGAACTCATGGCTTCATCTGTAACCTACCCTGATAAACCTTCTCTCATTGTAGAGTGAGCCCCGGGTACGGCTGGTGATGGCTCAGCACATGATCAGGGATATACAGACCTTACTATCCCGGATGGAGGTAAGTGGGCAAGGCTGGCTAGGGTCTCTCTCCACCCTCCCTCTCCCTTTTCTCTCAGCCTGGGAGTTAGGGCTTCACTGGCCACATCCACAGGGTTTGGCCTTCATAATCTAGTCTTCTCTGCAGTATTCATTCTTTTGGGCAGAAAAAGTATCTTTGTGAGGCTCTCTCATTTCTGCCAATCCTCTTGGTGCCTGGTATCTGGGGAGTTTGTTTCAGACTTAGTCTCATGGCATCTCTTTTCAATTAAAGGATTCTACTCTCTTAACTTGTGGAGGCTGGGAAACCAACTTGTGGAGGAAAGGAAACCACAATCTCTACTCTTTGTTAGAAATTTATTTACAAATATTACAGATGCTGTGGCCGGGTGTGGTGGCTCCTGCCTGTAATCCCAGCACTTTGGGTCGCCATGGCAGGGGGATAACGTGTGGTCAGGAGTTCCAATCCAGCCTGGCCAACATGGTGAAACCCTGTCTCTACTACAAGTACAAAAATTAGTTGGGTGTGGTGGCACGCGCCTGTAGGCCTGGCTACTTAGAAGGCTGAGGCAAGAGAATTTCTTGAACCTGGGAGGCGGAGGTTACAGTGAGCTGAGATCATGCCACTGCACTCCAGCCTGGGCAACAGAGCGAGACTCTGTCTCAAAAAAAAAAAAAAAAATTACAGATGCTTATTATGCATCTAATTTGTGTCAGTCTTATGCTAGTTGCTAGCGAGTCGGAGATAAAATTGCAGAGCCATGCCTTCAGGGAGTCTAGTTAGGATACTTTCTCTGTTCAGTCTCCTGTAGAGTAATCCTCTGCAGCAGTCTTACCCTGCCTTTGGTATCCTGACTCTCCCCTACCTTCAGTGTCGAGGAGGGCCCCAACCGCAGCACAGTCAGCCGCCCCCGCAGCCACCGGCTGTGACCCCGGAGCCAGTAGCCTTGAGCTCTCAAACATCAGAACCAGTTGAAAGTGAAGCACCTCCCCGGGAGCCCATGGAGGCAGAAGAAGTGGAGGAGCGTGCCCCAGCCCAGAACCCGGAGCTCACTCCTGGCCCAGCCCCAGCGGGCCCAACACCTGCCCCGGAAACAAATGCACCCAAGTGAGAGATGGAGGGAATCTTTAGTGGGTGGGGAATCCTAAGTGAAGTATGGGGAGAAGGAAATGAACCATGGCAAGGGAGGGAAAGGATTACTTGGAGGTCTTAGTTGAAGGGTTAGCATTGAGGGGCGAGGAGGGGCTCTCTCGGTATAGGTAAATGACGCTAGGACAGGCAGCTGAGAAGAACTGCTGCTCTCCCTACGGCAAGGAAATCCAAATGGTATCTCCTGAGCCTGATCGGAATTCTCCTCTGAGTTCACGAAGGCCTGCTCTCTTTCTTAGAATTAGTCTTTCACCATTGTAGGTGCAGGATTGTGGTGGGGAGGGTGGGAGCAGTTCATTTTCTTCTCCCTATCCTCTCATGGGTGGGAGTAAAGAATAGAAGCTTTGGCTGGGTGCAGTGGCTCATGCCTGTAATCTCAGCACTTTGGGAGGCAGAGGCGGGCAGATCACCTGAGGTCAGGAGTTCGAGACCAGCCTGGCCAACATGGTGAAACCCTGTCTCTACTAAAAAATACAGGCCGGGCACAGTGGCTCACGCCTGTAATCCCAGCACTTTGGGAGGCCGAGGTGGGTGGATCATGAGGTCAAGAGATCGAGACTATCCTGGCTAACATGATGAAACCCCGTCTCTACTAAAAATACAAAAAATTAGCTGGGCATGGTGGCGGGCACCTGTAGTCCCAGCTACTCGGGAGGCTGAGTCAGGAGAATGGTGTGAACCCAGGAGACGGAGCTTGCAGTGAGCTGAGGTCGCACCACTGCACTCCAGCCTGGGTGATAGAGCGAGACTCTGTCTCAAAAAAAAAAAAAAAAAAAAAAAAAACAAAAATTAGCCGGGTGTGGTGGCAGGCAACTTAATCCCAGCTACTTGGGAGGCAGAGGCAGGAGAATCGTTTGAACCTGGGAGGCGGAGGTTGAAGAGAATAGAAGCTCTGCTGGTCCAGAGAAGGATTGGGCCAGGGCTCTGGGAGACCAGGGAGAAAGAGGGCACATGTGGTCCCTGTTGACTGTGAGGGTGGGAATCTGAGGAAGGCTTTGGCTCATTGCCCCTTGGGTTTGTCCACAGCCATCCTTCCCCTGCGGAGTATGTCGAGGTGCTCCAGGAGCTACAGCGGCTGGAGAGTCGCCTCCAGCCCTTCTTGCAGCGCTACTACGAGGTTCTGGGTGCTGCTGCCACCACGGACTACAATAACAATGTGAGCCCTTTGATGGCCCTGCCCTTTCTCCTCAGCCCCAGTACTCCCAAAACAGAACAGGCTGAAATACAGATAACTCTTTCCCTCCCTGGAAAAACATTGCAACAGGGCCAGGTGCAGTGGCTCACGCCTGTAATCCCAGCACTTTGGGAGGCCAAGGTGGGCGGATCATCTGAGATCGGGAGTTTGAGACCAGCCTGGCCAACATGGTGCAACCCCATCTCTACTGAAAATATAAACATTAGCTGGATGTAGTGGTGCACACCTGTAATCCCAGCTACTCAGGAGGCTGAGGCAGGAGAATCGCTAGAACTCGGGAGGAGGGGGTTGCAGTGAGCCGAGATTGCACTACTGCACTCTAGCCTGGGTGACAGAGCGAGACTGTCTCAAAAAACAAAACAAAACAAAAAAACACACATTGCAACAAAACAGTTTCTCTCTAAACCTGTAAGTGATTTTGTCCTCCCTTACAGAGAAGGTGATAATCTTTGCTGTAAGCACTGTCCTCGTATCGTACCCCTTGTGCCCCTGAATGAATTTAGAAAATGTAAAGTACAGGAGATCAGTATATGATGACTTACTGATTCATAGTAGTGTTTTAATAGGATGTTCCTTATGTGAATAAGATATAATTTATTTGCAAAGATTTGGTCTACATGTAAACTTCCAAGGATATAACTGAAAGTTTTGGAGGACATGGTATTCTCAGTAGGCATTATTGCTTTTATTAGTGAGATGGACTCCAGCTTGATATTTTCTGCCTTTTTGTGTTTGGCTGGTTGTGCGCAGCACGAGGGCCGGGAGGAGGATCAGCGGTTGATCAACTTGGTAGGGGAGAGCCTGCGACTGCTGGGCAACACCTTTGTTGCACTGTCTGACCTGCGCTGCAATCTGGCCTGCACGCCCCCACGACACCTGCATGTGGTCCGGCCTATGTCTCACTACACCACCCCCATGGTGCTCCAGCAGGCAGCCATTCCCATACAGGTGGGTTAGGGGGAGTCTGGCCTGAGGGAGAGTGAGGGGTGTTGATAGAGTGACCCAGGGTAGCTACTGGGCCTGAAGGAGGTTAGGAAAGGAGGAGACTGGAAACATGGTGATGAAGGCTGGAGATACTTTAGAGGTTTATCATGAGGTTTTCTTGGTTAGGCTCTTGTATTTTTCTCACATCTGCCTGTCCATCTGTCTTTTTCAGATCAATGTGGGAACCACTGTGACCATGACAGGAAATGGGACTCGGCCCCCCCCAACTCCCAATGCAGAGGCACCTCCCCCTGGTCCTGGGCAGGCCTCATCCGTGGCTCCGTCTTCTACCAATGTCGAGTCCTCAGCTGAGGGGGCTCCCCCGCCAGGTCCAGCTCCCCCGCCAGCCACCAGCCACCCGAGGGTCATCCGGATTTCCCACCAGAGTGTGGAACCCGTGGTCATGATGCACATGAACATTCAAGGTGAGAATAGTTGCTGGCGAGAAGAGCAGGATCAGCATGATGAGGGAGGTTCATGCTGAGGTGTGAGGGAACAGGGTGGGGAAGGGAGAGGCACATGCTGGTGGTGGTAGCCTGGGGACCAGAGCAGAAGCTTAAGTAGACAGATGGAGGGGGTGTGGGGGTTGGTTTGTCTTTGGAGGTGTGTTTGTGTGGTGAAGGGAGTACCTCTCCCTGTTTAGATGGAGGGAAAGGCAGGCTTTCTGATTGGGGGATTATGGGCCTGAAGTATGCCTGATCTCAGAAGGATATAGTTAGGCCTTGGCCCTACCTACCTCAGGGCCACTGTCTCTGTCTCCCTGCCCAGATTCTGGCACACAGCCTGGTGGTGTTCCGAGTGCTCCCACTGGCCCCCTGGGACCCCCTGGTCATGGCCAAACCCTGGGTAAGAGTGAGGGCATCAGGGCAGGCTGAGCTCTGGGTAGAGAAAGGGAAGGGCTGAGTGGGTGGGTTGAAGGGGTCCAGGTTCAAGGTTACATCAGACCCGCCCCCCAGGCTCCACCCTCATCCAGCTGCCCTCCCTGCCCCCTGAGTTCATGCACGCCGTCGCCCACCAGATCACTCATCAGGCCATGGTGGCAGCTGTTGCCTCCGCGGCCGCAGGTAATGACCTGGAAGGGGAGGCTTGGGAGGTAGGGCACAGTCCATGGTGGCAGCTGGCTGGCAAGGGCCTGGCCCTCAGCCCTCTTCGGTCTGTCTCTTCTGCCACCCACAGGACAGCAGGTGCCAGGCTTCCCAACAGCTCCAACCCGGGTGGTGATTGCCCGGCCCACTCCTCCACAGGCTCGGCCTTCCCATCCTGGAGGGCCCCCAGTCTCTGGGACACTGGTGAGCAAGGGTCGGGGAGTTCTAGTGCGTAACAGTCTAGGGAGAGACTCCTGTGGTGGTGCATGGAAGGGCAGGTCTGAAGTTCTCCCTTGCTCTCTATCCAGCAGGGCGCCGGTCTGGGTACCAATGCCTCGTTGGCCCAGATGGTGAGCGGCCTTGTGGGGCAGCTTCTTATGCAGCCAGTCCTTGTGGGTGAGTTTTCATTCTTCCCCACTCAGAGTTTAAACTCCTTTCCTAGTCTGCTCACTGGCACTTTCCAGTTCTTTCCATATTTTCTTGGTTCCTGCTTTCCTGGAATGGGGCTGCTGTAGTGTCTTGTGTCTTCAGGTTTCAGCTTTTTTTTTTTTTTTTTTTTTTTTTTTTTTTTGAGATGGAGTCTCACTCTGTTGCTAGGCTGGAGTGCAGTGTACAATCTTGGCTCACTGCAACCTCTGCCTCCCGGGTTCAAGTGATTCTCCTGCCTCAGCCTCCTGAGTAGCTGGGACTACAGGTGCACGCCACCACGCCCAGCTAATTTTTTATGTTTTTAGTAGAGAAGGGGGTTTCACCATGTTGGCCAGGATGGTCTCGAACTCTTGACCTTGTGATCCACCCACCTTGGCCTCCCAAAGTGCTGGGATTACAGGCTTGAGCCATCGTGCCCGGCCAGCTTTTTTCTTTTTTTTTTAAGTTACAGAGTCTTGCTCTGTCACCCAGACTGGAGTGCAGTGGTGCAATCCAGTGAGTTAAAGCTCACTGTAACCTTGAACTCCTGGGCTCAAACAGTTCTCCCACCTCAGCCTCCTGAGTAGCTAGCAGTACTATCTCCTGGCTAGTAATTGTCTTTTTTTTTTTCTGGTAGAGATGGGGTCTTGCTATGTGGCCTAGACTCCTGGGCTCAAGCAGTTCTCATGCCTTGGCCTCCCAAAGTTGCTAGGATTACAGCCAAGAGCCACCATGCTCAGCCCAGCTTTCTTTTTTTGGTTTCTTACAGCTCAGGGGACCCCAGGTATGGCTCCACCGCCAGCCCCTGCCACTGCTTCTGCCAGTGCTGGCACCACCAACACAGCTACCACAGCTGGCCCCGCTCCTGGGGGGCCTGCCCAGCCTCCACCCACCCCTCAACCCTCCATGGCTGATCTTCAGTTCTCTCAGCTTCTGGGGAACCTGCTAGGGCCTGCAGGGCCAGGGGCTGGAGGGCCTGGTGTGGCTTCTCCCACCATCACTGTGGCGATGCCTGGTGTCCCTGCCTTTCTCCAAGGCATGACTGACTTCTTGCAGGTGAGTGGCTGGCTTGCCATTCACCTCATCTTCCTGTCCCCCGGCCCAGCCAGGCAGTGGTACCTTCTTGCCATTACATAACCACTGGGTAAGAGCCCCTAGTGACATGTTAGGGGAAGGGGCCCTGGGAATTCATTGACTCTGAACCTTTCATTTTAAAGATGAAGAAAATGAGGTTTAGAAAAAGAAAGTATAGTAATTAGTGTCACTGCTTTCTGACAACCTGTTCAGAGGAAGAGGTAGGTAAGTTGTGCTGCCTGACTCTGTTAAATACCTACCATACTTCTGCTTTAAGCAGTGAAGATCAGAATGTAACTCCCCATCTTCCCAGACCCGTTGGTTTGTGCCCTCTTGATGCCGTATTATTTCCGTGTGTCTTCATTCTCACCTCACTTTCTGTTCTTTGTTCTTTATTTGCCAGGCAACACAGACAGCCCCTCCACCACCCCCACCTCCTCCACCCCCACCACCTGCCCCAGAGCAGCAGACCATGCCCCCACCAGGCTCCCCTTCTGGTGGCGCAGGGAGTCCTGGAGGCCTGGGTCTTGAGAGCCTGTCACCGGAGTTTTTTACCTCAGTGGTGCAGGGTGTGCTCAGCTCCCTGCTGGGCTCCCTGGGGGCTCGGGCTGGCAGCAGTGAAAGTATTGCTGCCTTCATACAACGCCTCAGTGGATCCAGCAACATCTTTGAGCCTGGAGCTGATGGGGCCCTTGGTGAGCAAAAAGGATGCTTTGGCTTGCTCCAGGAAGGGGCAGCCAGAGGAATGTAGATGGCCTTGGTTTAGGGGTGTTGCCAAGGTGGGATGAGGTTGATGATCTGGTTGTGGGTGGGCAGGCCAGGTGGTAAAGGCCATTGCTAACATCTGCCCTTGTCCCCCAGGATTCTTTGGGGCCTTGCTTTCTCTTCTGTGCCAGAACTTCTCTATGGTGGACGTAGTGATGCTTCTCCATGGGCATTTCCAGCCACTACAACGGCTCCAGCCCCAGCTGCGATCCTTCTTCCACCAGCACTACCTGGGTGGTCAGGAGCCCACACCCAGTAACATCCGGGTAAATGAAGGCCAGGGGCCCCAGAACTCTCCTCTTTTGCACATTTTATTCCTTATTTCTGACTGCTTCTCTGCCAGGTAAAGCTCCAATTGCCCCCACACAAGCCCTGGACTTGTTGGGGTCGAGGTGGAAGTCTTGGGAGGACTGAGGCTTTGAACTAAACCTGTTCTGTTTCCTCCACAGATGGCAACCCACACATTGATCACGGGGCTAGAAGAGTATGTGCGGGAGAGTTTTGTGAGTAACCCTTCTCTATTCCTTTCCTCTCCTGGGTCTGGTCAAGGCAGCTGCCTCCTCCACTCCCAGTCTTATGATTCTTGATTTTGGGATCTTTGTGTTATCTTGTCTCTCAGTCCTTGGTGCAGGTTCAGCCAGGTGTGGACATCATCCGGACAAACCTGGAATTTCTCCAAGAGCAGTTTAATAGCATTGCTGCGCATGTGCTGCATTGCACAGGTCAGGGGCTGGCCAGGCGGGGGCAAGTGGGGCCTGTTGCATGTGCAGGGCTGCCACGTGCCAGCATTCCCTCCTTGTATTTTGCCCACAGATAGTGGATTTGGGGCCCGGTTGCTGGAGTTGTGTAACCAAGGCCTGTTTGAATGCCTGGCCCTAAACCTGCACTGCTTGGGGGGACAGCAGATGGAGCTTGCTGCTGTTATCAA